>NC_000021.9:45007128-45161024 GCF_000001405.40 Homo sapiens | reverse complement strand
TAATCCTGCCAAGTTATTTGCAGTATAAATCCTATAAAGCAGATCTTTAAAACCCTGGCTATTTATACTCTCAGAAGAATTACAGTAATTCTTACAGAAATATATTTTCAGTCATGTTTCAACTTGTTTTCTGTTAACCTTCTAGGTGCACACCTTCTATGTAAGTCGATTACTTAACAACACAATGACCCTAACAGAAAATAGGATAATAACACAGAGTTCAACTTGTGGAAATGAACAAAAAAGGAGTAAAACCCAAATTCAGTACACGCTCTGTAAGGAGGACACTCACCATAATGAAATGATTAAAAGGCAAATAAAATTCTACCTTGTTTACAATAAAATCCATAACGTTATGACTGGAAGTCATATCCAGGAAGATTTTTAGTAAGAATTCCAGACACATAAAATCTAGAACATGCTGCTTATATTTAATTAATTAACAATATTTAGCACTGAGATAACTAAACAGAAGTAAGCAACTGGAAGTATTTTAAAAAACACAATCATCATGGCAAAGCAGTGCTGGGGCAACTCTAAGGGAACAAAGCTGAATCAGAGAGCATGGTGAGCGTTACAAATGTGCATGGAACATGTGAACACACATACATCACAAGACAGTAAGCAAGAAGGCTGAAAGCCACTCCTTTTAATGGGAGTTAAAACAACCAAACAGAAAGAGACTATGCGAACGTCTGTAAGCCCTCCCACTGCAGCGGCTCCCGGCAGGGATCTCCCACCTCCTTCGGTCCAGCTCTACGAGGATCTGTGAAAATGATGGAGGTTAATTCCTTCAGTTACCTGCACCCTGAGTCCACTGGATAAAGACCATGTGTTTTCCTTCCATCTAAGGGACCTGGAGCATGTGCCTTGACAGAAGGCAGCCCCTACCCGATGGGCCTGGAGGCAGACATGGTGACCTCCCTGAAAGAGAACCAGGTTTCTGTGGTCAACCTTCCAGCAGCCTACTATGATCGATAATTGTCTTTAGACAAACACCCAATTAAAAAATGTGAGCAAAATTCATAAAAGAATAAATGCAAACAGGCTTTAATACGTTGACTTTTGAAAGTTTCCTTTCATTTTGCAGAAAGCAAAGATAGTTTTCAAAGTGACACACAGCGCATGGAAGTGACAGGTTGGCTCAGGAACAGGGAAAAGGGTCACTTTCTATGGTGAGCAGCACCCATCTGGCCTCTTGGAAGCCAACACGGCCAGGCCTCCCATGGGGAGCAGCCCCCTTGGCCTGACATACCTTGTTCACACTGCTGTCCAGAGGGTAAAACAATCCCAAAAGTCAGAAGAGGCTGGCAATGGGAGAGGACTATGGTGGTTAAGAGGTGCAAAGGGGCCTATTCGCCTCCCATTGGACACCAGGAATGAAGCTGGAGGGATGCGGCCACCCCTCTTGTATGCTCACATCATCCTCCAAGGCAGAAGTAAGGCATTACTGAGCCCCTGGTCATAGTAAGACAAAAATATAAAGCCTTAAACACTTCTAAATCTAATTCTAGTACTACGAATTGGAAGAAAATTATTATGGTTTTGCTCCCATTCAAAGATTTAGCTTCAAGGATGATGATATAGTTTGGCTGTGTCCCCACCCAAATCTCGTCTTGAATTGTAGCTCCCATAATTCCCACGAGTGTGGGAGGGACCCAGTGGGAGATAATTGAATCACAGGTGCAGTTTCCCCCATACTGTTCTCGTGGTAGTGAAGAAGTCTCATGAGATCTGACTTTTTAAAAGGAGTTTCCCCTTTCGCTTGGTTCTCATTTCTCTCTTTGCTGGCTGCCATATAAGACGTCCCTTTGTTCCTCCTTCATCTTCCGTCATGATTGAGAGGCCTCTGCAGTCATGTGGAACGGTGAGTCAATTAAACCTTACTTTATAAATTATTCAGTCTTTATTAGCAGTGTGAAAACAGACTAATGCAGATGATCACCTTTGCTTTTTCATAAAGTTTATTTTGTATCTATGTTTCCGAATTCTTACAATGAACATGTACTGCTTCCATAAGAAAAAAAATAAATTTTATTCTAAGCCTCCCTCCCACATACACGAATATGCCTTACTCTATACAGAATTCCACATGCAGTCTGGAAGGGGAGCAGACCCACGGGAGACTGAGTCACACTCCAACCCACCACAAGCTGTCTCTGCAGTCTTATCTGCAACCACCGTCAACCGAAAGAACGGCACACTTTTCCATGATATTACACAAAATATTGTATGCCCTGTACATTCTAGCATACTGTCAGGTCTCAGACAGCCTGTGCAGTTGGCCCAAATACAGGCAGAATAAATAGCTGCTAAGCAGAGGGACACCCGCGGGGTGTGGGGATGTGAGGAAGGTAGGACAGCTCAGGGTGCTTTGGTGGAGGAAACACATATGGGACCTGTGAGCCCTGGGCATGAGGCTGCTGCACAGTGGCCTCGGGGAGGTCCCTCCCCAAATCCCCAAGAGCCACAAAATGATGTCACTGGTACAGGACCAAAGATCCCTAAACTCTCTGACCCAATTTTGCAAATCTAAGGCATTTATTCCATCCTATTATCACTACTACAACATACTATATATTTTACACCTAACAAATTATGTGTTTTATAAGGCCTAGAGCAAAACTTCCAGATGGTCCCGTTTGCTTCCACATTCTGCCTCACTGTGTTCTACACTGATACCCTCTTCAGATGGGACTCTGGAGGCGATGATCAGAAAGAACCCCCAAAGGATGAGGCCAGTGGCTGAGAGAACAATGGACAAGGGAGTTCCCCCCTCCCGCCCCAACCCGAGAAGAATCAGGGTCTGGAGAATGAGGATGCTCCCTGCTGTGCAGGGTGCAGGAAGCTGGCCAGACAGGGCCAGGCTGGGCCCTTCCGCCTCCTCTCCTGCATAATTGTATTTTATCGCAGTTACCCTGTCCCTGTGTGGCTCCCAGGCTGCTGGCCCAAGAAGAGCCACAGCCAGACCAACGAAACAACAATCAGTGATCACCCCGAGGTCTGGACACCAGCTGGAAAGAGGTGATGGGCAAGGACACAGGCTCGCCTCCTGTGGGGGTGCTGTGCAATTTGTGGTGTGTGCCACTGCATCTGGGCCAACTCACACAGCTTCCTGCGTGCTTCTCTGTATTCTTTCTCACCTTTCTATTGCTGGACTAGAAGCAACTGCCAGGGTGACTTCTGTTAGAGAACAGAGCTTAAGGATGGAAGAAACCTAGGTCCCTGAGTGACTTCGAGGGCCAGCTGTGCCACAGAGCATCACCCTTGCTTCTGATGTGGTCACAAGCCCTGGCCCTTCTTGTCCCTCTCCCTCGTTACCCCCACCCTATGCACATATGTCCATACATGTTCACACATACAGAGCCACACTGATCCACACGCTTGTTTCCCGCCTCAGTCAGGCATGCCTAAGCAATGGCAAGCTTTAGAAAGCCACATGAACTGCTGAAGGAGACATCCAGCAACAAAATCACAGGTCAGAGCCGGCACACGAGAGCACAAACCTTCACAGGGCCCTGCCTTCGTGAAGTTGCTCCGTCCTTCACAGTGCAAACGCAGCAGCAATGCATTTGAAAGACTGTCCACTTTGCTCTACTTAACACAACCTAAGTAAGTTCCTGCTTATTTGAAAATTGTAGTTAATTTTCTGGAATCAAAGGGAAAAAAAAGACAACGATGTAAACTTTATTTTCAATATTAACACTTATAACTGCACTAAGAATTGGCACTGTTCAATCTGCTTTGGATCCAATTTCCATGGTATTTCAAGTGCAATTTCACAAATCTACTTCTACATGCTTACTTTAGAATTTCAACTGTTAACCTAGAGTGTATGCACCTGTGCTTGAAATGCACCCTGTAGCTGAGAGGAGCTCCTGCCCAGGCAGCAGAGTCTTTCTTGTGCTGCGAGGCCCATCAGCACAGATGCAGTGAAAGGTACACACATAGCCATTACAACGGGTTCTAGGAGATCTGGGCCTTCTATCCATAACGCTGCTGTCCACTGGGGGTTCAACTTTCCTTACTTGGGCCCCTCTCCTGGCAGACACTGCTAGAGAATGGTGTCTTCCTTTCTCACCAGATACTGGAGAATATCCCTCCCCACTACTACACATACAGTGCAGCAGTGACAAATCACATAAATCCATCCTCTTCATGCACCTAGTGGGATTTCAGGTGGCCCATTCCAGAACAAACCTCAAGCCTGAAAGCTGTGGCTGCCCCCTGCCACTGCCATCCCATTACCCCCATCTTCCCTAAGCATGTTCAAACCCCTGGTGCCAGCATGCAGAGAAGGGTGTAATGAGTACTTGTTGGATGAACGGAACAATGTAGAGAAGTGGGTGCGTGGGGGGGTGGATGGATGAATGGATGACAGATGATGGCTGATGGGTGATGGGTGAGTGGGTGGGTGGATGGATGGAAGACAGATGATGGATGATGATGAGTGGGTGCATGGGTGGATGGATGGATGAATGGATGATGGGTGATGGGTGATGATGGGTGGGTGGGTGGGTGCGTGGGTGGATGGATGAATGGATGATGGATGATGGGTGATGATGGGTGGGTGGATGGATGGACGAATGGATGATGGATGATGGGTGATGATGGGTGGGTGGATGGATGGATGGATGGATGATGGGTGATGGGTGATGATGGGTGGGTGGATGGATAGATGGATGATGGGTGATGGGTGATGATGGGTGGGTGGATGGATGGATGGATGATGGGTGATGGGTGATGATGGGTGGGTGGATGGATGGCTGGATAGATGATGGGTGATGGGTGATGATGGGTGGGTGGGTGGATGGATGGATGGATGACAGATGATGGGTGATGATGGGTAGGTGGATGGATGGATGGATGAATGGATGATGGATGATAGGTGATGATGGGTGGATGGATGGATGGATGAATGGATGATGGGTGGGTGGGTAGATGGATGGATGAATGGATGATGGGTGATGGTGGGTGGTTGGGTGGGTGGATGATGGGTGATGGTGGGTGGGTGAGTGGATGATGGATGATGGGTAATGGGTGATGGTGGGTGGGTGGGTGGATGGCTGGATGATGGATGATGGGGGATGATGGGTGGGTGGGTGGATGATGGATGATGGGTAATGGGTGATGAGGGTGGGTGGGTGGATGAATGGTTGGATGAATGGATGATGGGTGGGTGGGTGGATGGATGGATGGATGATGGATAATGGGTAATGGGTGATGATGGGTGGGTGGGTGGGTGGATGGATGGATGAATGGATGATGGATGATAGGTGATGATGGGTGGGTGGGTGGGTGGATGGATGAATAGATGGGTGATGGGTAGATGCGCAGATAGATGGATGACTAGATGGAGAGATGGATGATGGATGCATGGAGAGATGGATGATGGATGCATGGGTAGATGGGTGGATGGATGGGTGAGTGGATGGATGATGGATGGGTGGGTAGATGGGTAAATGAGTGAACAGATGGATGATAGGTTGACGGACAGATGGATGGACTACAATGAGTAGATGGACTGGTATATGGATGGGTGGATAAATGCCATCCCGTCCTATACCTCCAGGTGCTACCATGCTCTGCATCTCACAAAGGGTTGCTCTCTTTGTAAGGTGAGAGTCATGGCTGGCACCAGAGAAGGAGGCTGGTACGACAGCCGCCTGCTTCCTCCCCTTGGCCAACTGGCTCTGCTCACTCTGTGAAGGGTGAAGGTCAGGAGTTCCAGGGCTTCTCCTCCAGAAGTACTCAGGGGGAGCAGGCCTCTCTACGTTTGGACCTCCAGCTCCACAGAGGTCCCCACACCCTGTTCACCTCTATCCTGGAAACATGGGGGAGCCCAGCCTCAGACTAAAACACAGTTCAGAACTGCTGCCAGAGGACAGTGGTCTTCACATGTGCATACACGACTAAGCACAGATAAGGATGTTATCACATAGGGGACAAACAAAACACTCAGTGAGAAATACATCTGGAAATACAGGATGCTATTCAGACAGCAGGAGGGTGGGGACTGAAGGACTGCCTCTTTGTTCCCATCTCTCTCCCCTCCCACTGGTCATGAACTTAGCAGCAGTGCTGTGAGTGAATGAGGCTACAGCAGCAGCCACTGAGCACTGGCTGGGTGCAGGAAGCGCTCCATATATGGGCACTAACTGCTACTCAGAATCCTGCCCTGTGGCTCCCAGACCTCTCCCAGGTCTCGTGCTGGCAGCATCTGCCAGGGTGGCAGTGTCTGCTTGATGGGGACTCTGGCCAGTATTTAAATGGTACATTATTCTTTAGCCCTATTTTCCTGATGATTAAGCTAACCCATCTGAGGCTCACACACAGTCAACAGTCAATTATTTGCCCTGTGGAAGGCAGTAACTGCAAGTATAATCCAGGAGTGATGAAAAAAATCACTGAAATTATATTGCCACTGAAGCCAACTAAAACCCGTAACTTGCTACTACATTGTTTTCATCAAAGAATTACATTTTAAAAGGCGTACATTGTATCAGTCTTAGGGAAAAAACCATGCAATACACATGATTTACAGTACCTTAGAAATATACAGTATAAAAGACTATTTTACATCTTATAAAACTTTGCCAGTTTGGTATAAATGTGATGGCCAATCTTAATAATATCGATAATTTCAAAGGTATTTTTATTAGTTTCAAAGATAATGCTTATTACAAAATACCAACAGCGAGAACTAACACATAACATGATACTGTTTAGTAACACTCACAATGAACTTACTCACATAGGAATGACCAAGGAACACAAGCCATTTAATATGTGGGCCTCATTGTTACATCTTATAACCCTCTCAATTTCTTATAACCTTGGTCTGAAAATGCAACATATTTGAGAGTGGTTTTCCCACTGCAGAATGAGATTATGGAATGCATGAAAAAGACATTTTAAGCTTGAATCACAGTAAATTCCAAAAGAATGATGACAGAATTATTCTTGTACTTCTCAATATTTTTCCCAACTTAAATAATTAGTGATGAGTGTCCATGGGAAAAGTGGTGGTAATTCTAAATTGAGGGTATTTGGTAAAAATGTCCTTTAGTTTTTGCCTGTGCCTTTGTTTTACTCCCTATTGCCTGTCTTAGTGACATCTCAATTTCCAAAGCTTAACTGAGGAAACAAAAACAGGCCAATGCTGTGACCTCTTGAGGTGAGGGCAGAGGGGGCCGCACAGACTGGCTGTCCTGAGACCGCCCGTCAGTCCAGGAAAGCATCGAGGGTGTGGCATCCCCAGCCCTGGACACAAGCACCTGGCAGCACGGTGCACAGAGGGCCCAGGGTCAGGGGTTCCCCACTCCCAGACACAGACTTCCATTAGGTGCTGTCACCTTTGTTATATTACAAGGTACTATTACAAGATTGCTGACTTTGAGATTCATCTGTTCTTCTTCTTAGGAAGCCACACCAAAAAACCGAGGTTAATTTTACTTCCTGAAGAAACAGCCATCTCCTGCCACAGCATGTCCCAAGGGCCCTGTGGTGGTGAAGCGCTGTACTCCAGTCCTGTCGGGTGGGGGACACTAAGGGGGCGCCCAGAAGACACAGAGGCAGAGGCACTGATCACGCCTGTGTTCAGCTGTTCTCCGGGCTAGACACATCTTTTCACTAAGGCATTTTCTATTAATTATTTCATATTATACAAAGAGAAAAA
Organism: Homo sapiens; assembly: GCF_000001405.40. Taxonomy (NCBI): domain Eukaryota; kingdom Metazoa; phylum Chordata; class Mammalia; order Primates; family Hominidae; genus Homo; species Homo sapiens. The sequence continues at coordinate 45,153,346 of NC_000021.9, read as the reverse complement.
AAAAACATCAACAGCTTTTAAAGCAGCAATTTAGGTCCAAAAACCAGTAGCTTGTGATGTGTATAGTCATGGACAACTTTTGAATCTGGTTTTGAGAAAAAAAATCTAGATTTTAATGACTTAAAACATTAAGTTGAATTAAAAACTGGTATTAACCTGGAGTGCAGAATGTAAGGAATTTGCTCTCCATTCTTTTAAAGGGGAAATATTTTCACAATGGTTGCTCAGCCTTGCTTTCTGCAGCATGAAGAACAGTTTTAATGTAGAAAAGTCATTAATGAAGAGTGCGGCAAAGGAAATCTCATATAAGCATCTGTCTCTGGGAGAAAAACCTTTTCTGTAGCTCAAAGCTACAAACTTTAAAGTTTTATAAATATCTTTCCAAAGACATACTCCAGACTCTGAAGCTAAATGATTTCTATTCATGTTTACAGACATGTTTTTGAATCTTCCTTTTTAAGTGCCCCTATCTAAAATTCTATAAAATGCCAACAACAAAAAAGGCACTCAAAAAGGGAAAATAGGAAGTAACTGGCATCAGCAAGATTAATTCACAAAGCCGTCTATCCCAGAAAACACTTCTGTATTGCATTAAAGACAAATGCTTCACACTGAAGAATAAAAACTAAATGAATTACCTTTCCTCTCAGAGCGCTTCTTGCGCCTCCTTTTATACCGACGCCCCATGATGCTGAAAAAGGTCCCCATGTGCAAAGGCCCAGTGGTGGACGACGCCATGCAGACACGCCAATGCCAGTCCGGCCGGCCCCAGCCTCATTCTGTCCCTCAGTCACTCGGGGCAGCAGCACACCGACTCACTTCCGTGTGCCGGCAGCTGCGACAACAGCAGCCCCTACCGACGAGGGAGCCTCCTCCTCTGCCTCGGGCCCATTCATCATGCCGCAGTTAGGCAGAACTAGGCTGAAGGGGCCCACACACCACAATGACTTCAGAGCACACCACCCAGAGAATGACATGTGACAGCTAACCGTTCAGCGCAGTCACAGTAAAACACCACGAGCAGAGGGGAGAGAACGACAGCCGTGAATCTTCTAGGGAAACAAATCTCCCACAGCAGACGTACCAAAGTCCTGTTTAAATGGAAATCCTAATACAAAAAATCTATCAATAAAAGAGTACAGTTTAGAAAATAAAACTGCAAAAAGTAACAGGCTACCACACAACACAATGCAGAGGCTCAGCAGACGCCAGCTGATGAAAACAGCTCCATATAAAGTGCAGGTGAGTGGTCAGGATGTCACCAGTGAAATCCCTGGGACAGGAAACTGCAGGCCACTGACAAATGGATCCCCCCGCCCCCAGAGAGTGCTCTTCCTCCTCTCTTAACTCACGTGTCTCGGACCAATGCTGACCTGCCTTGTTCATTACTGCAGAGCAGGGGCACAGCTCATGCCCCAGGTGAATGACACACAGCCAAGGGAGGGGCAAACGCCAACATCTTCCCATTTTCCACTGTGCCTGGCTTGATCAGCACAGCCAGTCTGTGACTAGCACAGTACCATGGCCAGCCTGGGGCGAGCAGGGACACACATCACACACATGTACATGCACACACATCACATACACACATCATACAGCACTTGGTGCCTCTGCCACTCGGGATCCAGCATTCAGGGCTGGCAAAGCAGAACCCACAGCCCTCAGCCTCCTCTTGTCTAGAAAAACGCTGTTCAGGCCCCAGGGAGATACCTCCCCTGAGATGGCCTGTGTCTCTGGAACAAAAGGCAGCTGCATCCAAATGCCCTGAAGATTAGGCTGTCTTGGAAGGAGTCCGATTATGGGGAGGAGTCAAGCAGAAGAAGCACTCATAGGCAAAAGAAAAAAAAGACAAATTAATTAGTCAGATTCTTTCTCTTGCCACAATGCAATTACTGTCTCGTGTAACAAAGTACCTTTTCCTAATAATGACCAACATCCACTTTCTAATTCATTATTCCAATTAGTGCAATGCTTGTGACAACTGCACATGGCACCTAAGGAAATTATGCCATATTAAGCAATTCTTATTACTCTTAAATTTGTGTGTGTCCAGACACACTCTGCGTAAGCATAGTGAATTCTTTTCATTTTCTATTGCCTCAGCATCTATCTGGAATATGAGCTGCACTTTCTCCTAGTAGCGGCAGAGTTCAGCCACCCCTGACACTTTGTAGTTCTACACCACACCCAGTGGCTCAAGCCAGTACCAGAGATGAGAACCTAGAGGCATCTTTCACTCAGGCACCTGCCCACACACTTCAAGTGACCCCACCCTACTCCCTTATTTGTTCTGCTGGTTGGCTGCAGTGCTCTCTCTCTCTGCCTGACCCTTTGTTCCTGCTTGCATGACCCAGGGACAGAGGACTGCCCTCCTGACTCATGGCACCCTCCCTGCTCAGGACCTGTAAGTAAAAATCTTTGAACATGTTTCCCCCATTGTGTGGTGTACTGAATTTGTGCCTGAATTTGTGTTGGGCTCCTGGCACGAGTGACGGTCAGGCAGGAATAACCTGGACATGGATCAGACAAGAGCCACCAGGGCATGTGTCAGTACACACACATTTCCAGAGGGACCCCTTGGTCACAGGTGGAACAACGAGACATCAGGCCCGACCGCCAGGCAAAGCAGCATCTCATGAAAGCACTGGAAACAGCATGCCCAGCCCCTTCACTTCTCGTTAGGGTGGGGCTGCCAGCCACTCTGGCACTGGAACCCCAATGTAGCTGGAGGCCCTCAAAACACTGTAAGACTCAGGATCCATGTCAGCAATCAGACAGATGTCAGACATCAGAATTATCAATAGTTTTATTTCTTATAAAATTATTAATATGATTTAACTAAATTTTCAAAGTATTAAATTTAAAACTCAGCTTTAAACAATTTTGATTTAAACATTTCACATTAACTACTTTATATCTTATAACTTAATAATTTAGAAAAAATAATTTTTTGAAAACACAAAAAATTATAATTTTTGCTTTGTTATTTCCTTAAAATTCAAATTTTTGATAGAAAGATATTCAAATTTTGTATACTTCAAATTCAATGACATTTTTGTTTGTTTGTTTGTCTGAGACAGAGTTTTGCTCTGTTGCCCAGGCTGGAATGCAGCGGCAGGATCTCAGCTCACTGCAACCTCCACCTCCTGGATTCAAGCGATTCTCCTGCCTTGGCCTCCCAAGTAGCGTGCGCCACCACGTCTGGCTAATTTCTTTTGTATTTTTAGTAGAGACGGGGTTTCACCATGTTGGTCAGGCTGGTCTCGAACTCCCGACCTCAGGTGAACCGCCCTCCTTGGCCTCCCAAAATGCTGGGACTACAGGCGTGAGCCACCGCATCTGGCCCAATGACATGTTTTATTTTTTAATCCTTTAGATCAAGTGGTAGCAAACATTTTCTGTAAAGGGGCAAAGAGTAAGTACTTTAGACTTCGTGGCCATGTCTCTGTTGCACTATTTTATTTTTTAACAACTCTTTAAAAACTGTAAACACTGCACAAAAAACAGGATGTAGGCCGCTGTGCGCTAGCCCCGCATTAGGCCGTGAGCACCAACAGAACAAGCATTATCCGAAAATGCTTAATATAAAACATGATTAGTCATTTGCAGAAATAAAAACAAAATAATCAATGTTATGGGAGATATATGCACTTATTGATAAATCATGTCTTGATCCTGTTACTCATTCAAACATGAGTGGCCTCTGAACAGAACACCTAGATAACAGTTAAATTAACAGTTAAATTCAGTGGTCTTTGATATTTTGCCAACATTAATTCATATAAAAACCATAGGTCCCCACATATTTTTTCCATTTTGAAGATGTAGTTGTCAAAGAAGAAGACACAACATATTGTATCAATAGTGCACTGGCTTGACTTAAAACTCTGGAAGATTTAGACAAGATATGCGGCCCCCATTTGAACTCTGGTGCCCCAACCCCTGCCAGTGTCAGGGACAGGCCCAGAGACAGCAGGGCCACCTGAGTGCCCCCAGATGCTGTGCACAAGGAGGCAGCCAGCAACTCATCAGCATGCATGGATCAGCAGCCGTGATGGATTTCTGCTCCATGTTCCCAGTACAGAGGACAGAGCTGGTGTCAGGATGAGCTTCTGAGATAGAGTAAGGCAAGTGTGGAGCCTGCCGAGAGGAATAGGGGCCTAAGACAGGAACAGAGGCCACATCAGGAGCCAGCAGAGGCTGATGCATCATGGGAAGCTGCCCTGGGGCCCCATGTTGTTGCACCCAGGAACATGCGGGTGTCAGGGTTGTGCCGGGCCAGACCTGAAAGGGCCTTTCACGCTGAGGTGATGTCTTTGAACTCCATCCTGAAAGCCATAGAGACTCAGCAGGTTTGCATCCAGCAGTAAGGAAGGTGGACTGATTATGTGGGCATAGGTGAGGAAGACAGGAGAGAGGGAAAAGGAGACAGTCACAGCCCTACCTCAGGCCAGTCAGGGACGAGACAGCCTAAACTCTCCCATGGCGGCATGGGTGGAGAGAGAAGCTGGGGAGAAGAAATGATGCAGAGATCTCGCCAGGCCAGGGAGCTGGGCTGGGCAGCCAGGAGTAGAGAAACAACGCTCCCAGAGGAGGGGCGGATGTTAGAGCAAAGCCGAGCCCAGCTGCTGGCGAATGCATCTGTGATGCCCATGAGCAGCCAGGATTTCAGCTCTGCTCTACTTCTTGACTGCTGCAGAACTCAGCACCAGCTCCAGTGCCCTCAGAGCCCTGATTTTTCACAAACCGACTCCTCCAAGCTTCCCCTGTGGGCGGGATACACAAGCCAGAGTCGCCTTGTCACATCTCTTCTCTCTCCACCAGGTCATGGGCAAACCTTCCTGACATACTTTACGACATTACAGCAAAGGGGAGCCCAGGCCCTGGTGCTAAGGCAGGAGCCTCAGTGTCATCAGGTGGGAGCCTCTGCTGCCTGTCCGGATTCTTTCCTTCAATGCTGACAATACTGGGGCCGTCCCAGGACAGTGAACTAGCAATGGGGCACCTAGGGCCAGCCTGACACCCACGGGCAATCAGCCACTGGTAGCTGTGACTCCACCTTAATTCCTTTTACCCAGCTCACACCCTCACGGAGGCTGCCATGGCCCTGAGGGCTTGGGAACTGGTGGGCAGGTCCGTGAGGGCATAAAGGAGTGAAAACCAAGGAGGAGGTGAGTGGGACAGAAGCTGTCTGCAAAGGCTGCCCCCACGTCTGGGGCAGGATCCTCGGGGAAGCAGAGCCTCCGTTCTCACAGATGCTTAGCTTGTGACGGGGGCTGGGAGGGGAGAACGCCTGTTTCTGACAGTGATGCCGACAGGCCTCTGGTGGGGTGAGTTCGAGAGGGCTGTACCGCAAGGCCCTGCACATCACTCGACGGAGCCTCACCAGGCAGTTGGCACAGGCGCGGCAGCCTCTTGCTCTCTCTCGGTGACAGAGGAGAAGTGGTGCTGGTAAAGCAGGAACCGCTGCGTGGGGCTCAGAAGAGAAGCTGAGAGGATGCTGGGAGCAGAAACAGAGAGAGGTGCCGGGGGCAGCGTGGGAGCCAGGAAGGCTCACAGTTGCTGACCTGCATGGCTATCACAGCGAGATGGGGGACTAAGGCCAGGGCAACTGCAGAACGCGCTGAGCAACACGCGGGGCACGACCCACAGCTCTGGGGCCAGCCCGGCTGCAGGAGCCCCTCCTTCACTGCAGCTGTGCTGTTCCTGTGCACCCCCGGGGGCCTGGCCTGAGACAGATAAGATGACCCATTTTGGTAAAAGAGGCGTGTGGAAAACATCAGACCACCCCCTTCTCTCTCCAGTCTAAGGTAGCACGTTTTACAGTTTCATATTACAAGTCACCTTGCACAAAATCCTTACCTAAGCACGCATCTGTGCACACATCTGTGCTTAGCTCCCTGCTGGGAGTTCGGGATCTCCTGTTAAATACGGATGCACAGTGTATCCCCAACAGAGGACGTCAAAAGCAACCCACAGGATTAGAACCAAGAAACCACAAAAGGGAAACATAAATGTTCTTTAATTATTTCAAATAAGAAACAATAAAACCTCTTTGGACCTATTTTATAGTAGAAATTCACTTACTGTATTTGAAAACTGTAAGGGGGAATATCTGTAGGTTTATTAATTTAATTATTCCCTTGCCATGCATCAAACAAGTGAGGTGCACAGTTATGAAAAATGACTCCACACTGTGATTAACCAGGTCTGAGAAACTGAGGACTAGCCAGAAGCTCAAAAACACCAGAGCACATGAACTGATCTGGCTGAGAAGACCTAGTCACCAGGTGAGCAGTGCCGTGACCCCTGAGGAGGGGCTGGCCAGGCCCAAGCACAGTGGCTGCTGGGACTAGCTGCACTGTCTCTCCAGCCGAGGCCCCAGGGGTCTCCTAACAGGGACAGAAACAATTTGAGAAGTGGAGCCAGAATTTCTGGAGAAGAAGCCAGAATTTTTACCCAGAAGAAAGCACTTAACATTGTCATGGTTAAGTGCAGTCCAGATCAAGCCAAACACAGGGTAAGAAAAAAGGAAAAGACAGATGGTAAAGAGCTGTCTGAGCTCTGGATTCTTTATGATGAAATTATTCTGGAGAAATAAAGTGCTTATAGAAGTTCGATAAAAACAAGGACTGTTGCTGCCTGGTTGCTGGACACACTCACGTTTTCAAAAGTCCAACTCTCTGCCTTCTCCCTCTGGGTCAGGGTTTTCATCTGATTTGATTTCTACAGGAAGCTGAGCCCAATAGTGGGCTTTAGTCTCTCTAGTTTACCCCCACATCCACCACATCCGTGGAAAGAGGTGGCCAAGACGCCAAGCCACTCCCAGGGAGGCTGCTAGTGGTATTCTGTGTCCTGCCAGCTCTAGCAGGACGCAGCCCCGGGAGAGTCCCGGTCCGGCTGAAACCAGGTTGCCTTGCAACTTCCTATCATCCCGTTTCCCAACTGATGCATAACTCATGACTGTTGCTTTCCTTGAAATGAGAAAAGTATAATTTCCCCATCTCCATTGTAACTCTTACCTTAAAAGACCAAAACTTGTATAGCAAGCCATAATTCAGAAAAGTATATTCAAGAAACAACTTGCAAAGTATGCCTAAACTCCCATACTTTAAAATCCCGGCAGAACGGATCAGGTGCGTCCGAAACCATAACCCCACCACAGGCAGTGACAACAGCCATCTGGCCGTAGGTAATCCCGGCAGAACGGATCAGGTAAGTCCGAAACCATAACCCCACCACAGGCAGTGACAACAGCCATCTGGCCGTAGGTAATCCCGGCAGAACGGATCAGGTGAGTCCGAAACCGTAACCCCACCACAGGCAGTGACAACAGCCATCTGGCCGTAGGTAAAGGCTCCTAGTGAGGAGTCCACAGCTCGGTGAGAACGTGGTCAACATGACTGGCAAAGGTCATGTCAGCTGGCTTGTGTGTAACTTTTCAGGAATCTGGCAGGTCTACTAAATGAGATATGACTTTAAGTGAAAATACGCTAAAAGCACAATCTTCAGAGATACACTGTCATTAAAAGTTCATCTGGGATGACAGTTAACATTGTGAAAGATACCACGGTAAGCTTGTTGAGGGATCCTGCCGGCATCCTCCTGCTGTGTGCCTGTCTTGAGCTCTGGGCACCATCTTGTCAATGAAGGCAGTTGTTCTGTGCTTTCTCACATTCTGTATGTGGCAGTTAGGCATCCAGTCCTCACAGGATCAATTCTATTACGTCCATTTTCTTATTCCTAATGCTTTGGCATTTGTGGGCCTTACAGACACAGGGAGAGACTGGCCCTCCCAGGGCTTATAGCCAGCACAGGGTTCCAGGCAGGTGGTCGGCTCTACCCACCTCCCTTATCTAACTGCCCGCCTGCCCGAAATCACCCCAGGGCCTGGTAGCAGGCAGCTAGTGATCTCTCCTACAGCCCAGGGCCCACTGGAACTGTTCACACTAGCCATTCCTACACGGGTGCCCTGCCCTGCCTTTCCCACAGAAACCCCACTCAGGCTCTGTCCTGGGCTTTCCTGTGGCTCCTTTCTGCCCCTTGACTGACACCAGTGTGCCCCGTGGGCCTGCTTGGCGCGAGTGCCCCCCCGTCTAGGAAACGCAAGTAATAAAAATCTCCTTTCAGTGGCAGAGGCCTCTTGGGATCTGGTTCCTTGGTCACCTCCACAGGCTACAATTCTATGGGCACAAGGGAGACAGAACAGTTCTCAAGATCTCCTTGGTTTAACAATACCAAGTCTACTGGGGCTCCTTTTAGACTAGTCTATAAAACACAAAAGCATGCTACTTTCCTGACTATCACACTGTATAATCCTGTTTGATATTTGTTCTACATTCATATAAAAAGTTAGATTAAAATGGCATTTACATATATTTTACCTTCATTTTCATAAAGAGATCATTTGGTTTTTTCCTCATCAAATGACACAGCCCAATGCACAGTAAATCTTCCTAACATCAAAAATGCATATTTTTGGTTTCTTGAAAGTCAGAGTAATTTAGACTCTCCCGGCATGACAGGACAAGCAGTATCCTAATTGTGGTAAATCTGTGTGCCAGCAAGTGGAAAGGTGCCCTGGTGGGGCACTGGCTCTCTTACTGCATATTAATTCATTTTGTAGTCATTTCACATGAAGTTACCAGAGTTGAAGCAATGCCCTCACAACGTAGCTATGGTTCTCTTCCTTTTTCTTCCCATTTCTTTCTTCCACCTTTAGGATTATTGAAGAGAAACATAAAAATAGAATGTCTGATTCATGAGAATCCAGAAATTCAAAGCAGAATAGCAACGATTTACTGTATCAGGTATGGTTTCTATGATGATTAAACTGACAGTTTACAATTTTAATAAGATACCTTAAAGCTCTTTTTTTCCCAACTTTAAAAGTTCATCAATTTCTGACTTCAGCTGCCATGTCTTTGCAAGTTAATAACTGTTTAATTCTAGGAGAATGTCACAAATAGCCATACACCATTTAGCATCTGACATTCCTGGTATCTAATTAATTTTATTTTTATCTATGCCCTCAGAGTAAAGTTCTAAAATTTAATGTTCCCAGAATATTAATTTAGGAAAACTCTTAAAAGCATTTTTCTACTCTTATAAGAAGGGGAAATATGAGTTTATTAGAATTCTAAAATCTCTATGAGAGTAATTTACTCATTATTTACATAAAATCAACACATGGGAAATTGTAACATTACTTAACGTAATATTAAAGTACCTCAGAAATGTCTGTCAATAAGAAAAGTAGCAAATATTCATTCATCTAACTATTTACTGAGCATCTACTATGTACCAGTACTGTCCTAAATGCCTGAGATACATCAGTGAACAAAGACGTTAACATCTGCTTTCCTGGAGCTTATGTTCTAATAAGGAAAAAAAAAGACAACTGACAATGGGGACAATGGGGGTCATAAAAGATGAACTGCCGTCAAGTGTCAGGGGACAACAGTGGCTGTTATTCTAGGATGATGGCTGGATGTGGGAGGGCAGTAGTGGCGATGCCATTGCGGAAAAGACTGCAGCGAGGTGGTGAGGAAGCTGGCCGTAAGACAGCTGGGAAGAGTGTTCTCTTCTGGGAAGAGTGAAGAAAGGAAGATGGAAGGTTCTAGGTAGCCGCAGCACCTGAAACCGCCCAGGAACAGCCAGGCAGCCAGTCTGACAGCAGCACAGTTAACAGAGAGTGAGAGGAGACGGAGGTCCAGCGGCTCTGCACATGGGACCTCCTGGGCCACAGTGAGGACATGGCAGTCATATGGTGGCAAGAGACTGTGGCAGCATCTTGGACACGGGCTTTAATCTAGTTCTGACCTAGTTTTAAAAGGAACACTCAGGCCAGAGTAGGGGACAGGGGCACAAGAGGCATGTCCTGAAGGCACCGCCCACAGGCCTCCTGGCTGCCATGTGGGATAGAAAAGAAAGGATAGGCCACCTTCAGCCTGAGAGCCTGGAAGGAAGGAGCTGCTGAGATGGGAAGATTATGGCAAGGCAAGGGAATGAGAATTTGGATGTCTTAAGTTGTGGAGGTCTATAGATGCCTGAGAGAAGATGCTGCTGGACTTGGGGTCTGAGTTTGGAGAGCAGGGGGAAGGTGTGGGACTCACCTGCAGAGGTGATGCTGGGTGCAATTCCTGAGTGAGGAGCACAGTGCCAGGAGGTTAGGAGAGGAAGAAGCAGGGAGCCAGGAAGGGCACCTGCCGAAGCAGAGGGCACAGGAAAAGTCGGCTGAGCGATGGCCACCTGCCAATCACTACACATGCATTTGCTCATTTAAACATCATCAAATCTCAGTAAAGGAGACTGAGGTTTCAGAGCAGCAGGCTGGACACGGCTGCTACTTGTTTTACAAGCATCGCAGATGCCATTGGAGCTTTGGCCTTTGTGGGTGGAGGCTGCACAGCTGTGCAGCATGGCCATGGTGTTGGTAAAGTAGTAACCAGCACAGAGTCACTAGCTGGTCCCCCTGGTCAAAGCCCTGCTCCCTCTTCTATTAGCCAAGGGCCGTAGGCAATTTCTTACCTTCTGGGCCCCTCAGATCCCCCTGCAAAACACATGACGGAGCCAGGCCACACCCCTGAGTTCATGGGGGGACCAAGCAAGGACGCCGCTTAGGCCGCAGCAGCTGCACACCCAGTAGGCAGATCCCACACGGCTCCCACCACCTCATGGGGAGCAGCCTGGCAGCCAGCTGGGCTGAGTCACTGCCCAAGGTCACATGGTGGCCATGTGCTAGGATCCACTCCAAATCCAGAGCTCTCCAACCTGGGGACCCACACTCCACCCCGCTACAATGCTGCCCAGTTAAAGAAAAAACACAACTACTTATTTTCTCAATTAAGATTCCTTACAATATTAAGTCAAGTAACATATTTCTTTACATAAACACATTTCTGTTTTCTGAATGAGAATGGTTTCAAACAGAACAGACTAAGTATAACTTTCAGTCTACTTGCAACATTCCTCTACTTCTTCAAACAAATGAATTCAATTAAGCTTTTTCCATTGGCTTTAAAGGTGACTTTACCATGCAACTTAGGGTTAAAAATCAAAGTCTACACTTCTCAAATGAGTATAGCGGGTGTTCGATTTGAAAAACAAAAAGAAGGCAGGAGCCCAAAAAAAGGAGACACTTGAATTGAGCGACCTTAATTAGCTGCAGTAGCATAATGTGGCTTAAAGCAAGCAAGCACCCACAGACAGTGACCAAGGGTGGCTCAGGTAACCCAGGGGTAGACAAGGTGACCCAGAGTGGCCAAGGTGGCCCGGGGGTGGCTAAGGACACCCAGAGGTGGCTACAGTGGCCCAGGGGTGGCTAAGTGACCCACAAACAGCTAAGCTGACCATGAGTGACTAAGGTGAAAGGGTGGGTAAGGTGACCCACAAATGGCTAAGGTGATCCTGGGGTAGCTAAGGTGACTCACTGGTGGCTGAGGTAACCCACAGGTGGCTAAGGTGGCCCTGGGATGGCTAAGGAGACCCTGGGGTGGCTAAGGCGACCCAGGGATGCTAAGGTGATCCTGTGGTAGTTAACATGGCCCAGGCGTGGCTAAGGCGACCCAGGGATGCTAAGGTGACCCTGGGGTGGCTAAGGTGACCCAGGGATGCTAAGGTGATCCTGTGGTGGCTAACATGGCCCAGGGGTGGCTAAGGCGACCCAGGGAGGCTAAGGTGTCCCTGGGGTGGCTGGAGGGACCCACGGGTGGTGAAGGTGGCCCACAGGTAGCTCAGGTGGTACTATGCTAGCAGCAGAGGACAACTCAAACCTAGGGGGACTATCACCCTTGAAGGACAGCTCCATCCCCATTTACAGACTCTGGGAAACTTTTTAAATTCTTATGAGCTCTGAATATAAATTTGATACTAAACTGGAACATACATTGACAGGTATTTCTTTAAAGATTCTTAGGCATTATTTAAAAATAATGCTTTCTATAACTGGCTACTAAAAATAAAACAGAATGGCAATCCTTTGAAATATATTCTGTAAAACCACTACTACATATTTAGATCATGAGAGTATAGGCTAATTTTTTGCATTTTAACATAATTATTACCTATTTGGAATATTAAGCTTAAAACAATAGAATCATAAAATTATGTTACACAAAGACTACACAGCAAAGTCACAACTTTTTTTTTTGAGACAGGGTCTCGCTCTGTCGCCCAGGCTGGAGTGCATTGGCACAATCTTGGCTCATTGCCACCCGTCTCCTGGGATCAAGCAATTCTCCCACCTCAGCCTCTCGAGTAGCTGGGACTACAGGCATGTGCCACCATGCCTGGCTAATTTATTTTTACTTTTATTTTTTGTACAGACAGGGGTTCACCATGTTACCCAGACTGGTCTCAAACTCCTGGGCTTAAGCAATCCTCCTGTCTCAGCCTCCCAAAGTTCTAGGATTATAGGCTTGAGCACCACACCTGGCCACAATTTTTAGAATTGCAAAAGATGTACAAAACTTCTCATTCCATAACACAATCAGCCCCTTCCGCAGACTTAATTTATTATATCAAATTTATAAATTACTTGATAAAATTTTATTTACAATTCAGATCACTCACTGAATTAAACCAGCTATAAGTATTCCATCTCATTGCTTCACAGGTCCTCTAAATGGTAAAAATGAAGCCAGGGAACAGAAAGCTTTCTGAAGGAAACTGGCTTCTGGACGCACACTGGAATGCACACACACATACACTCACGCACACACACACAGATGGTGTAAAGACAAGAGGTTTGTCCTGGTGGCCACCGCTCAGAACGCCACTGAGCCTCCTCCACTGAGTCTTAGAAGCGGCCCTACAGCACCATCTGCTGTTCTGCAGAGGTCACTCAACGCTCCACACCACAGCAACCAAGCCAGGAGCCACCCAGAAGCTACAAGGCATGGGCTGCCAGGGGCGGACCTGTACCTCACAGCCTGGTCTAGGTGCTCTGCTGAATACAAACCATCTGATGGGACATCAACATCAGACAAGGTCGCCCTGGGCCCTGATGGGTAGGACATCTGCACGGGGTAAGAGGAAACTTTTTGGGGTAAGAATATTCTCTACCTCAGCTGCTTGGTGGTGTGGCACTGGCATACATTTGTCAGAATATATTAGAGTGCACACTTTAGAAGAATGATTTTTGGCTGGGTTGAGGTGGGTGGATCACCCGAGGTCAGGAGTTTGAGACTAGCCTGGCCAACATGGCAACACCCCATCTCTACTAAAAATACAAAATTAGCCGGGCATGGTGGCGGGCGCCTGTAATCCCAGCTACTAGGGAGGCTGAGGCAGGAGAATCGCTTGAGCCTGGAAGGCAGAGGTTGCAGTGAGTAGAGATCATGCCATTGCACTCCAGCCTGGGTGACAAGAGCGAAACTCTGTGTCAAAAAAAAAAAAAAAAAAAAAAAAAAAGAGTTTTATTGTCTGTACATTTTACCTCAGTAAATCCAATTTTAAAAAAATCAAGAGATCCCAGAAGAAAACAAATTCTATAAGAAAGGTAAGTCTCAATTTGAAATAAAATAGAAAATACACATATTTCAAGAAGAATGAATTAAATGGGTTCCAAGAAACAGAATGAATAAGCTGGAAAAGGCTGGCGATAGCATAAGAAAGGCAGTGGTCCCTCTCAACAAGAGAACACGGAGAGGCAGAAGTGCTGATGCTCAGGGCCCACGGGCGCACGCGGCCCCACACTACCACTCACCACGCTCGCTGCGCCCGACAGGCACCTTCCCTGCCCCACGTGACAGAGGAGGAAGCTGAGCATGGGAGTTGAGACACTTGCTCGACCGCTGGATCCAAACTCAACTCCATTCCCCACTCTGCTCTACCACTCCATGCCAGGCAAGAATATGGGAAAAAGAGAAAACGGAGCCAAAAAATCAAGGAAACCAGGAGAAAGAGAAAACGGAACCAAAAAAATCAAGGAAATCAGGAAAAAGAGAAAACAGAACCAAAAAATCAAGTATACCAAATCCAAGTATAAAGCAAATTAAACTGTGGCATGACTTTCAGCAATCGTCATAATAATATAAGTGCCATTTATGAATTTGGAACTTTGATTGAACCAAGGTTACAGAACAGAAGAAGTTTTCTACTTTGGTAACACAGAAGACAAACAAGGCTGGGAGCAGTGACTCACGCCTGTAATCCCAGCACAGTGGGAGGCTGAGATGGGTGGATCACCTGAGCCCAGGAGTTCAAGACCAGCCTGGGCAACACAGCAAAACCCCGTCTCTACAAAAACTACAAAAATTAGCCAGGCATGGTGGCATGCGCCTGTAGTCTCAGCTACTCAGGAGGCTGTGGCAGGTGAATCGCTTGAACCCGAGAGGCGGAGCTTGCAGTGAGCCAAGATTGTGCCACTGCACTCCAGCCTAGGCAACAGAGCGAGACTCTGTCTTAAAAAAAAAAAAAAAAGAAGACAACAAACTGACAGAGGTCAGACAAACTGACACCACCGAGGAGCTGAGGGCCAGATAAGTGCTTCTGCTGCCTTCCATGCAGGAAACTGAGAGGCCGCCCAGGGCCCACAGGCCACGAGCACATGGGCCACTCAGTCTCTAGGATGACCAGCAGGGGGCGTGGTTTCAGGCTTGGTAAGCTGATCCAGTGCTCGTCCTGAAGCCCTTTCCCCTACCCCTCTACCAAGGGTGCCACAAAAATGAAAGGCTCATTTTCTGTCTCTTTTGTGACTAAAGCTGGCCACAAAACACACTTCTTGCCAAGGAGAAAGACACAGTTCTGGTGAAAGACAGGTGAAAATATGCTGAGGGCTTCCACAATGTCTCTGACAAAAGGAATAGACAAGAGCTCCACGGCCTGCTCCTTCTCAGTTGTTCCTGCCTTAAACACAGAAGTGGTGTCTAAAGCTGCTGCTGCTGTACTGCAGCGATACTCACCCAGAGCCCTAAGATGGCTGAACTCTGGACTAGCTCTAGCAAACTCCTCCCTCTGGATTACTTACGACATAAGAAGTGCGTATATACATCCAAGGTGTGTAAGATACTGTGAGTCATGCTGTGACCTTCACCCAGAATCAATCCTAAATGATACAGGAAAAGAAGGTTGGAGAAACGTCACGGAGCTAAATCCTCCTCCATGTGAACTAACAGTGCACAGTTAATGTCTAAAGTTCATAAATCAAACAATAGCAAGTGCAGGATGCAGCCCTTTCTCTTGGTTAAGCTCCTATTATGTTGCATCTCTGTCACTTATAGCCAATCCTAATACTAATTAATATAGAAATACAAATATCTAAAATGCATTTTAAAAAATCAGTGATGCCACTGAGGAGGGCAAGAGCTATACTCTATCGCTTCTCATCAAAAGCCCTTCTAAGTTTGAGGGCATCACTCCCATAGAAATTGAAATTAAGCACAGGTCTGCCCTTTTCCTGCCCCCAGCAGGCCCAGCCTCTCCCTCCCCTCCAGCCCACCAGGCTTCTGGAGTCATATCCAGAGCCCCTCCTGCCTGGGGTGCCCACCTCCCATGCCATCTCCCTGGAAAACAAACCCAGCTTTCCAGACTTGCTGCAACCCTACATCCATGAACTCTCCTGCCCTGCCTCCTGGGCACACCTCCTTCCATCCCCACTTTCCTCACAGTGCCACCATCATCACAGGCTTCCTCCCCTCCACACCCACCAGGCTGTTCACATGCAGTGGGCAGAGACTGTATCTGAACCCTCAGAGCCTCAATCAGGGGCAAGGCAGAGGCCAAGCTCCATCACTGAACGCAGACATCCTCACACCGTCCTCTGAAGAGACTTCAAATGTTTTATTTTAAATCGGATTGATGGGCCTTCACACATCAGGGGACTGTTGGTCACTAAAGCACAAAGCTCCTGGCACACCCGAAGGGCCACCCACGTACCCTCAGACCAAGGAAGGGCAGCCAAGGGGCAGGAATGGCCAAGAGCCCCATCCCCACCACCAGCATGGCGATGGCGTAGGTTAAGAAGGGGGTCAGCAGTCATCAGTCTTCCAGAACTCTCGACATATCAGGATCACAAGCGGCTGCAGGCTGGAACCTCAGCCTCCAGCACCTTACACAGGGGAATCTGCCCACAAGAGGGAGCTGCTGTGTCACTCCGAGTCCCTCCATGTAGAAAAAGCCTTTGGGAACTACTGAACAGAAGTAAATTCAGATTGTCCTGGATCTACACGTGAATCTTCTCACTTCTTGCCTTTTACACACACACCAGTCTTCAAGGTCTGGATTCATTACTTTTAGTTTAGTCATGCTCAGAGCACAGCAAAGCTAAAAGAAAATTACCAATTTCTAAGAACTTCAGATATTTATGATTTTACACCCAACAGTGTGTATTTTGTTAAATTCTTATCTATTCAAGTCATACTTCTGTGGTTAATTGTGTACTTCTTCAGAACCTTAAAGCCACATATAAACTGGGAATCCAACCACTTCTTAGGAATTTTTTTAACTTGATGCTGTTTAAACCAAGCTTTACTCAGATTATTTTTTAAGTAGAAAACAATCCCAAGTCACAAACTCCCTTGTTCCACACCTACCTACCAGTGTCCCTGGCCCCTGTGGACACCAGCTGGGGGCGGGATTCTCCCTGCAGCGCACACACCAAGCAACCTGGGGGAGAGCGGCAGGGTGCCTCCTCTGGGTGCGGGGACACCCCTGCTCTCCCAGCAGCCGCTGGCTGGTGGGGCAGCTCTACTGTTTTCTACCCCCGCCAGCTGTCCCCACAGGACTGGTCTGTCCCCACATTTGTCCCCAGGCCTCGGTCAGTGCCTCCCCACAGGGGCTCAGTACATGTTTGTTGTTAAAGGAATGATTCTCTCTTGAGCGCTGCTACAGGTTCTGAAACATGGTGCCGGGCGTAGCAAACATCACGACTCCACAGCCCACTTCACAAGCAGCAGTTCCACTTGTCTGCACCACTTGACGTTATTTTCCCTAAATCTGGTGTATCTGTAGTTCTTCCCTGTCATCTCAGCTTAGGCTGAGGCCCCAGGTCTGAGGAAGAAGAATGCTAAGGGTCCACATGTTTTTAAGAGCAGGGTCTCCCCACCCATCATGTAGAGCTTGCTGGAAGCCTGGAAAGCCTGCCCTGCTGTCCCTCACTCATTCCCGCACGAGGGCACCTGACAGGAGGCCAGAACCAGAGCTCAGAGACAGTGGACCTGTCCTAAGAGAGCGAGTCCTCACAGCAGCTGGCCACCAAGAAGGGGAGGGAGTTCGTGGTCCTCCACTCCTTCCCCTGGTTTTACTCCCCTCCCTCCGATCCCTCTGATCCCTCCCACCCCCATGGGCCCAGGGACACCACAGGATGAACACAGGCGCATATGACTCACATTGTGTCCCTGCTCTGATGCTGCCTAGTCCCGTGGCTGCTGGCGGCCTCTAAAATTAGAAGGGTCTTTGGAAAGGGGCTGTGCATGGTCAGATTTTCAGGACAGCACTCAGCTTCACCCACCCCCATCACAGAGGACCCACCGGGGAGGGTGAGGGGCAGCACAGTCTCCACTGGGCCCACCTGCAGTCCAGGACCACAGGACCCACAGAGGGCCCTCTTGACTGTGGCCACACCTTTCTGCTGACATTCTACACTTCATATGTTTTTTTTCCAATTTTTCTAATACATTTCGAAATGTGGATGGCAGACTTGTCAGTTCCAGAAAGCCTTTCTCGCACTCTGCCTTCATCTTCTGAGGCCTCACTTTGCTTTTCGACCTAAATTAGGTCCTGTCTCTTCTAGTCTTTCTGCTTCATTAGGGGCTACTCTGTCTATCTACCGCTCACGGTTTTGAGGTCACCAACTCAGGACCCCGTATCTGTATGCACTGACAGGCAGGCAGCACACAGTGGTCCTGCTGAAAGCAGCAGTTTGGTCTTTTCCTCTTAAATCACTGAGTCCTCTGAGATTCCCTGGAAGGAGATATTCTCCACCTGTTTATGGTTTTAACTCCCCTCAGTATGCAGCCACACTAAGGGGTGCCAGGAGGATGCAGACAGCTGACAGTTGTTGTCATTCTGGCAGGCCGGTCAGCACACGGAGTGTGGAGGCCTCTGCCAAGGAACAGGGCGGAGGGCTCTCTCTGCCCTGTGGGTTTGAATGCAGCCAAAGCATCTTGGGATCTGGAAATCCTACCCAGCACACAGTCCTCCATGAGAACTTCCAATTCCAGAATTAGTAGAACTGGCAATCCAGACAAGGCCCCATCAGCAAGCAGGCCCCTTAGAGCAGGTCTGCCCATTTCTATAAACCTTTGGCTTTGCAGACCACTTATGGTCTCTGTTGCAGATTCTTCCTTTTCTGTTTGTTTTATAACTCCTTAAAAATGTAAAAACCATCCTTAGCTTTCAGGTCCCAGAATCTGCTCACAGGCTACAGCCTGCCAGTCCCTGCCCCAGGAGACCCACCTGGGCATCTGCAGAGGTGGCTCTGCCCAGGCAGCAGGGGACTCACCCAGCTGTCAACGGCAGCCAGGGGTGTGGTGCTGGGTGCCCCTGACCACAAATGCCATCACCCACTGACCTGGCTGGCAAGGCGTCTTCATCCTCGGGATCTTCATCACTCATGGGCCTGGCCTCTAGGGGGTCCTCAATGCTCGCTGGATGAATGAGGGTGTGCTCATTGGCCATTTCAATTTCATCTTGTGTAAAAAAAAAAAAAAAAAATCTGTGCAAGTCTTTTGCCCCAAATTCTACTGTACTGCCTTGTCCATAGGGATCTGTAGGATTCTTCATGTACTATGGACCCTGAACACTAAGCCACGCCTCTGTCAGGCATATGCCTCTGCTGGGCGCACACACCTCTGCCAGGTGCACACACCCATGTCAGACACACACACACGTCAGGCACACACACCCCGAGTGTACGTACCCCTGCCGGGCGCTCACACACCCATGTCAGACACACTCCTGTCAGGCGCACACACCCGTCGGGCGCACACACCACTGTCGGGCACACACACCCATCGGGCGCACACACCACTGTCGGGCACACACCCCCGTCGGGCGCACACACCACTGTCGGGCACACACCCGGCGGGCGCACACACCACTGTCGGGCACACACCCCCGTCGGGTGCACACACCACTGTCGGGCACACACCACTGTCGGGCACACACCCGGCGGGCGCACACACCACTGTCGGGCACACACACCCATCGGGCGCACACACCACTGTTGGGCACACACCCAGCGGGCGCACACACCACTGTCGGGCACACACCCCCGTCGGGCGCACACACCACTGTCGGGCACACACCACTGTCGGGCACACACCCGGCGGGCGCACACACCACTGTCGGGCACACACACCCATCGGGCGCACACACCACTGTCGGGCACACACACCCGTCGGGCGCACACACCAGTCGGGCACACACCCCCGTCGGGCGCACACACCACTGTCGGGCACACACCCCCGTCGGGCGCACACACCACTGTCGGGCACACACCCCCGTCGGGCGCACACACCACTGTCGGGCACACACCCCCGTCGGGCGCACACCCGGCGGGCGCACACACCACTGTCGGGCACACACACCCATCGGGCGCACACACCACTGTCGGGCACACACACCCATCGGGCGCACACACCGTCGGGCACACACCCGGTGGGCGCACACACCACTGTCGAGCATACACCCATCGGTCGCACACACCGTCGGGCACACACCTCTTTCAGGTACACACCTGTCAGGTACAGGTAAGACAAATTCTTTTCTCAGTCAGTGCAGTGTTAGCATCCTGCCCCTGGGGTACACACCTTGTACACTCCCCTGCCTTGCAGGCGGGAGGAACTGTGAACATGATGGGATATAGTGTTACATAAGGCAAAGGTGAAGGGATTTTACAGATGCAATTAAGGCATCTCATCAGCTGACTGAGTTCATCAAAAGGGAGATTTTCCTGGGTGGGCCTGGCCTGATCAGGTAAACCCCTGAAGGATGAGAGAAGTCAGAGAGGAAAGGAAGAGGGGAGACCCTGCCTATACGCCTTGAGAGGCAAACTGCCATGCTGGGAAGAGGGCCACAGGGCAGGGGCTATGGGCAGTCTCCAGGAGCCAAGCGCCACAGGCCTATGGTCACAAGGAACTGAGCTCTGCCAAGAGCCAGTGGGCCTGAAGAGGACCCTCAGTCAGAAGCAACGGCAGCCCCTGCTCAATACAGGCACCTTAACTCCTGACACTTCAAGGAACAGAATCAGGGGCTCAGGCTTCTGAACAGAGGCTGACACCCCTTCGACAACTGTCCGATTCCACCAGGGAAACGAGCCAGGCTCACCAGGGCTTTGCGCCCAGAAGCACATGACTGTGAAAACTTGACAGATGAGCCGCCACCCAGCAGACAGGAAGGAAGGAAGACTGGAGGAGCTGGCAGGGAAACGCTGACTGTGGCTTTGGAAGATTGTCGGTATTTTCTTTTATGGTGTATTTTCTAATGTGCGCTCAAAGAAGCCCCTTCTCTTTCTTCTTCGTCTATCTCTAGCCCTAAATCCAGTAGACTCTGCTTTCAAAGCTGAAATAAAACACTCTCTAGGTAACATCTTACTCTCCTGAACTTTCAGAATTCAGGAACACTCATGCTAAGACACTTTACTCTTCCTGACAATGGAGTTTACTGCATAGGTTCAGTAAGAATTTGTCCTCCTTTTTACTTGGATGTAACCGGACAAAAAAAATGTGCCACCAACCCCACATCTGGAGTGTCACATCTGAAAGTGAATCCCTCACATCCCCTAAGCCCACCCACAGGAAGGATCTGTGCCCTGGGGAGCCAGTGCCCACCCAGCCCCCACAAGGTAGCAGGCCTGGTCCCTGTTCTATAACTTATGGGGGCCCAGAAAATTGTGAGGGCCTCAAGTTAAAGAAATTCAACATTTTTAAAAACTATGGGCAAAACCTGGTGTGGATACATTTCTTGGGTCTGGCTTCCTAGTTCCAGGGTAGAAGAACAAATAAAAGCAATCTTAAAACTCTCTGGAATGACAGAGGCTACTGGAAAAGCCATCTTAGTTCCTCACAAAGCTTCAGACAGAAATGAATCCTCTGACCTGGCCAGCTGCTCTCCCACTGCCGACCTTCCAATAGGACGCCACCTGAGCTGATGCGAATCAATCAGGCCCAACACCACACTGACAGCTTCCTGGTGACAGGGGTCATGCCAGAAAAGCACATTCAGAGACTTCTCGTTCTTGGCCAAATTTTTACTTTAAAATTTCAGTAATCTTTTGGAATATTTAGATACTAAAACATCACCTTTGCTCAGTTGGTTATTTTAGTCAATAAATTACTTTGAAGGAAGAAAAATGTCAAGTTTTTGTCACAATATCTGAGGATCCAGAATTAGCATCCTTACAATAATGTGCTTCATTCGAAGGCCCTCATTGGCCTGACCATCCACCCGGACTGCCCATCTCGAGAACCTCCACACAGAGAAGAGCCCCGCAGAGGCTTGCGGAGCTCTGCGCCAGGACACCGCCAGGCACCAGGACAGAGGTCAGCACACAGGACACCCCAGGGAGGGCACCTCCACGCTGTGTAAGCCTTGAATGACGGCTCTTTCCTTCTGGCCCCAAGAGCCCCTCTGAAAAGTGCCAGCCCCTAAAGACGCAGCTGCCTCTTGGCACTGGGCTCCATGCCCCTCCTCACTTCTCCTTTCAGTCAAGGCTTCGAGAGAACTTTAGTTCCTGACCAGTCGGTCAGGCGGCCACACCACACTGTGCACAGAGCAGGAGGCGGCAGCGATGCCCGGTGGTAGCAACAGGTAGCAACATGAGAAGTGGCGTAGGCATCATGGTGACATGGGCACTCCTAAACCTCCTGGAGGGAGCAGGGCCACCCCGGAAACAAGGAACTGTCCTGCACAAAAGGACTTCCATGCAGGTGGAAAGGCTGCTCATAATTCTCTAAGCCCAGCCCAGCTGAGTTTTGGATTGACACAATGCATTTTTCTATACTTTTAACATACACTCAATGTTCCAGAAATACAGAGACTACCTAGAGACAGGGAAGACTGAACACTGCTTCCTTCAGGTTTGACCATTTCAGAAAGTAATGCCACTCAGCTCTATTGCTTATGGTTTTCAGGTCACCAGCTCAGTACCTACCCCACATCTGCCTGCACTGACAGGCCCACACCACTCAGTGATCCGAGTGAAAGCAGCAGTGCCTAAATGTCCATACAGTGGCATAGAAAACTATTTTATTATGTATCTTCAGTTTCTCTTTATATTACATTTCAGCATGACACTGCTTTTTAACATTATATGGCTATAATTATATAAGGTAATATCTTCTGTGAACTTCATTTTAAAATAAAAAGATGAGTTAATAAATATTTGTTACAAAAAGAAGATGTGGTGTGGGGTGGCAATGAGAAAGACTGAGAAAGCTTTCCAGGCTTCAACAAGAGTCAAGGTTTCCCGAAGCCCTCCTCAGCAATTCCTCTTGCGCAGGGGAATTACTATAGGAATTCTATCTATTGTATCCCCCCAAGATGTTCCAGCCTCAGAAGATAATCTCATGTATAAAAACACAAGAAATAACTTCAGTCTTTTCAAGCAAAAAGAAAGGCAAAAACAGTGAGTCTGCCTGAAACTAAAAATAACTCCCCACAGCCCTGCAGTGCGACCTGTGGCTACACGGCACAGACAGCACTAAGGCAGGACCCGGGAGGGAGGCTCAGAGGGAAACCAGACAGTGCAGTGAGGCTGAGGACGGCCGTGCTTCCAAAGATGTTCCAGCCAAAATCTTTCATGTTTATTTATTTTTATTTAAACCACCCTGAAAAGGGAAAAGAATAACACGCCAAACTGTTTGCTGCCGAAATTAGCTCTTATTTTATGAAAGAAAGGAAATACACGATTTCTATTCGCAGCTAGCATTTAGTAACACAGAATCAGGAGGAGGAGATATGACTCATCATGTCGTAATATTTTATAATTTCCAGCTCTTCAGTTTTGCTTTCTCAGCACATGCTTTAGATATCTCCTTCTGGCCTGATTATTTTTTCTATGCTTTTAAGAACAATTTATTGGTGCAAAGGATTATAAATAATTCATTTCTCCAATGCACAGTTATATTATATAAAAATACTTGCTATTTCACATATATGGCATAATTAATGCAATGTTTTACTTCTGTGGCATGTTAAAAATAGGTAGTCACAAATCGACACTTAACTTAGCAATATTAAACCACAACGTCTCTTTCAGACTCATTCCAACTCTGGGATCCTCATTCTTTCAATAACCTCTGGTTACAGAGAAGCTGATTTCCTATCACTAATTAAGCTAGAAGAAGCGCTGTGGCTGAAAATAAAATCCCATCCCACAGCACAAGCCATGATAAAGGTGACCTGATTTTGACCTTCCCATACTTGGACTGCCTGTGTACCCCCCCAAAAAAAGCATCGGTTGAAGATAAAGCCTCCTTTAAAGGTCTCGCTAGGGAACCAGTTACCTGAAATTCCTGACATTTACAGACAGAAATGGCAAGCAGGACCTTTGCTGGCACAAACTCAAAACCCAGTAGTCAGACATGGGTGTGTCTCTACTCCCCAAAGACGGCGTCCCCCCTAGGCTCCCAGCCACTCTCATCCATCCACGCTCACGCCCTGGTGACCGCCCCCTACCTATGGCTCTGCACCAGCCACTCCCATCTGTCCACACTCACGCCCTGGTGACCGCTCCCTCCCCACAGCTCTGCATGCCATCCCGAACTCCCAGGCGGGAGCACGGCTGTGTCCAGTGAGCGGCTCACATGAGAGCTGCCAAGCGAGCGCCTGGTCCCTGCCATGCCCAGAGGGCATCTGAGGCCCAGTGGGCGCTCGTCAGTATCCACAGAGCAAATGGACACAGGAGCACACCTGCGTTCCTCCAGCCAGCAGCAGCCCTCTGACACCTTCTCTTTCCCCTCATCTCATCTGAACCCATGAAAAAGCTTCCCTGGAAATGTACAACTGGACTTCCTGAGTTAGTCACTCAGCTGCTCATAAGTAAATTAATCTGACACCATACTAATTTTACTGGGATTTTAGTATTTGTCACAACTTCTCTCAAAAGCAGACGCTGAATCATGAGATAGTCGCCAAAAATAAGTACTAAAGAAATGTTCTTCTTTTTTTTTTTGAGAAAGAGTCTTGCTCTGTCACCCAGGCTGGAATGCAACGGCATGATCTCAGCTCACTGCAGCCTCTGCCTCCCGGGTTCAAGCGATTCTCCTGCCTCAGTCTCCCGAGGCTGGGACTACAAGCGTGCACCATCACACCTGGCTAATTTTTGTATTTTTGGTAGAGATGGGGTTTCGTCACGTTGGCCAGGCTGGTCTCAAACTCCTGGCCTCAAGTAATCTGCCTGCCTCAGCCTCCCAATGTGCTGGGATTACAGGAAAATTTTCTTTTAATTACTCCTAAGAAAATAATAATTGATGGTAAAAGGCTTTCACCAAGTCTAGTGCCCGGCATGAAGCACTGACTCAATAAATGGTGAACTGACCCCAAAGAGGGCAGCAAGTGCCACACATGCCACTGGAGGGCAGCAGGTGCCACACATGCCACTGGAGGGCAGCAGGCACCACCCCAGAACAAGCAGGAGGGACTCATGGGTGAGCTAAGGCTGCAGTAAGATTAGAAATCAACCAACAGTAACAGATCATCTGTGCCGGGAAGTATTCAATAAAGCATCTTTCAAAGGCAAGCCAAAAGGCTTAATTAAGCGGTTTATATCAAGAAAAAGGCATTTCTACCAGTCAGATTTGATCAGATCTTTACAGGTTTTTACTCACCTTGAAATTTTTCTAGCTTTATGTCTGCTCTGATCCCAAGGCAGCTTCCTTCGGTGCGAGCGGACTGAGAGAGTATCTCAGCAGGACTGAAGTAAGCAGAACTCCGCGCTTGGCCAGTGTGTCTCCTTCAGTTGCCCCTTAAGCTCTCCATGCCAGCCTGAAAGGCTCCACTCTGTGTAACAGAGAGATTCGGTAACTTCACACTTGTTTGATTCAGTATCAAAAGCTTTGTCACCATTTCAGAAGTGAACTCTATAACAATAAATACTCTCCATGAAAAGTCTTCTAAATACAAATTTAAGTTATTTTAAATGTACTCTTCCGAATCTGTAAAGGGGATATGCGCAATCCATCACGTCTCCGTCCGTCTGCCTGCAGCAGGTAGAGGCACCTGTGACAGACGGAGGCAGATCGCTGCCAGCCCAACATCTCGGCATCAGCGGCACCAGGCCACACACTGAGGACTGGAGTCTCAGGCAGAATCTCACACGTACTCATCTTTTTTACAATTCAATATGCACACACCCCTACACATGCACACATGTGAATGTGAGTCCAGATACAGAGACGCACCATCCCTGCACGTGCTCTGCCCGGGTTTGGAAGCTACAGGCCACCTCTGCTTCTGAAGCAGAGGTTGTGAAACAGTATCTCCATCTAGTTTCTGCTCTGTGTGAAAGCGTTTTCAACCAGCAAGCCATTAGAGAAAATGTTTCAACATGCTAATATAATTATAAAACCTCAATATGGAGTATTAAAATTTTCTTCCTGAAAAGCAAACTGATATCCAAAAGAAGGGGAAGTCTGCAATGGGTTTCTCCATTGCAGAGTTCCAAAGAGAAGTCTCTGGGAGGTGTGTCCAGGGGTGAGCGGGTTTCT
Organism: Homo sapiens; assembly: GCF_000001405.40. Taxonomy (NCBI): domain Eukaryota; kingdom Metazoa; phylum Chordata; class Mammalia; order Primates; family Hominidae; genus Homo; species Homo sapiens. The sequence continues at coordinate 45,127,694 of NC_000021.9, read as the reverse complement.
GAGTGGGAACCTGGAGGAAGGAGGTGAAGTGTGGGATAAGGTGCGCGTGAAAGTGGCTCGACTCTCGCTATGCAGACTTGGCCAGGCCATCACAATGCGTTCCTGCTGCCCCGGTCGCTGCTGCAGTCCTCAGAGGAGATTGGAGGCTACCTTCCAAACCTCCCACCTGTGACCAGCTGACATTCATCTACAACACACGTCAGCTCGTCTGCTGGGACAGACCTAAGACACAGAGACAAGCTCACCTGTGTCCTGCACTAGCACCATCAAGTCAAATGGGCTGTCACTGAAAATGCTCTATCAGCCTGGAATTACAGGTCACAGAGTCATCTTGTCCAGCACAGAGAATGAGGGCCACATGTCCAGAACTGTCCCCACTATCAATGACCCCCATCATCCCCACACCAGATTCAAGCTCCCAAATCACCCTCCCCAGCGGTCCCAATCACCACGCCTGGGTGGAGAGTGTCAAGAAGTGCAAGGACGTTGGCCTCTGACCTTCAGCGTTGCCTCCACTCAGTCCGAATCCAGCTCCACCACAGCCCCTCCCCAGTGGGCAGAGAGCAAGGGCCCCGAGTGAGCATGAGCTGAACAAGCTTCTCTGGAGATGGCACCTAGCCCCTCCCTCAATCCAAAGAGCCACAAAGAAGTAAAATCCATTCTAGAAGCTTTACACACCAAAAAGTCCACCGCCTAAACAGAGAAAGAAAAACACAGCAGAAAGGACATGAAACCAAGATTTACAGAACTGGGTTCTAGTGCCCACATCATGTCCCACCAACTCTGCAAGCCTGGCCAAGAAATCTGACCTCCCTGGGCCGTCTGCAGGATGGGAAACTGCATGGGAAGCCCAGCCACTTTGAGGAGGGAGCAGGTGATATGCAGAGTGGGTTTTGGAAGCTGCAAAGTCTAAACATCAAGTGTGAGAATGGTTGCCTCCCATTTGAGTACACTCATACCAACTGAGGTAAAACTGCCATACTTGCCAGGAGTATTGCAAGGGGTTTCAGGAAAAGCATGGCTTCCAGGAAAGAGGGGTCCAGGCCACCACCCTAGACCTCAGCCTTGCAGTCGTGTGACTTGAACAGTGACTCAGCCCCTTCCAGGCTTGCTCCTATGAGGACAGGACGAGGACACAAGGAACACCCGCCGCAGATGGTGCCGTGAGGATTAAATGGAGGAACAGATGTAGAGTGCTTGGCCCCGTGACTAAGATCACAGTAGGGGCGCAATAAAAGATGGTCAAAAACACCGGAGTCTTTTTGTCATGGAGGGAGTGGAGAGGAGCAGGTGACAGAGACAGCAGACAGCGGCTGAAAAAACAAAACAGTGGAGAGATGGAAGATCTGCACAACACAATTAACAAGCTGCATGGTGGTCACATGCAAGACGCTGCTCCTAACAGTGCATCACACATCAGCTCCTCAAGGACACATGAGCCACTTCTAAAAATAGACCATATCCCAGCCGTAAAGAAAATCTCAACATATTTCAGGTGGCTGAAATCAGACAGAGCTCATCCTCTGATCGTAATACCATGAGCCTAGAAATTAACAAGCCAAGTATAACTAGAAAGTCCCATATGTCTGAGAGTTCAGCAATACACTTCTAAATAATCCATAGACAAAAGAAAATAATCACAGGAGAAAACAGAAAACACTTAGAACTTAAAACTAGAAAAGATTATGTACAGAATTGTGTGGCACACAGATAAAGCAGTACATCAGAGGGACCTTTATAGCTCGGTGCTCAAGCTAGAATAGGAGTAAAAAAATTAAAGAGTGCCTACCTGAACAAGTCAGGGAGAGAAGAACAAAGTAAGCTCAAAGAAAACAGAAAAAGGGAACTAGTAAGAAATTCAACCTGTATTAATTACATATAACGGCAGGTACACAAAGATAAACATTGGTTCTTTGAAAAGACAATGCAGTGAACCAGTGATCTCTGGCAAGACTCATGGAAACACAGAAAGGGAACACAAGAGAAAAAGCCCAAATTAACCAGCCTTGGAATTGAATTGGAGGGCAGGAAGGCCTGATGGCCACAATGTGACTCTCCTGTCCTTGTGTGGGAAGATCTTACTTCCCCCAATGAGTCCCAGCAGGCGGGTGACTGCTCTGGCCCATTGAACGCAGCAGGCGTGGTACTGCCAGGTCCAGACCAGCACCTGAAGAGGAAGCCAGATTCCACCTCCTATTTCTGGGAACACTGTCTCTGGGGAGCCAACTCAGATGCTCTGAAGAGATCACAGGGGCTACATGCAGAGAAGGATGTCTAGTCAGCCCCAGGCGGGAGCCAGCCACCTCACTGAAGAAGCCTTCTCATACAGGACACTGAGAAGAACCAAGAAAGCCACAGCTGACAGCCAGAAGCAGAGCTCCAGACACTCAGGCTACCTGGCTGAGCATTAATAAAGTGATTGTTGTTTATGTCACTAAGTTGGGAATGGGTCATCAGGCGGCAAGAGAAACCAAAATGGAATTATCACTTAAACTCTGACAACACTAAAAATATAGTAAGAGGCTTTATAAACTTTATTCCAAAAAGCTTGTAAGCTTAGGTTAAATGAAGAAACTCCAAGAGAAATACAACTTATTAGGCTGGGTGCGGTAGCTCACGTCTGTCATCCCAGCACTCTGGGAGGCTGAGGCAGGTGGATCACTTGAGCCCAGGAGTTCAAGACAAGCCTGAGCAACATAGCAAAACCATCTGTACTAAAAATACAAAAATTAGCCAGGCGTAGTAACACACGCCTGTCATCCCAGCTACTTCGGAGGCTGAGGTGTGAGAAATCACCTGAGCCTGAATGGTCGAGGCTGCAGTGAGCTGAGATTGCACCACTGCACTCCGGCCTAGGCAACCAGAGTGAGACCCTGTCACACACACACACACACACACACACACACATACACACACACACACACACACCATTTAAAAAGAAAAGAAATACAACTTATTAACACTAACTCAGGAGGAAACAGAAAATCTGACAAAACTACAAACATTAAAGAATTAGAAGCCAGATGCAGTAGCTCATGCATGGAATCCCAGCACTTTGGGAGGCCGAGGCAGGCAGACTGCTTGAGCCCAGGAATTCAAGATCAGTCCTGGCAACATAGTGAGACCTTGTCTCTACAAAAAAAATAAAGAAAATTAGCCAGGTGTGGTGGCGTGCACCTGTAGTCACAGCTACTCAGAAGGCTGAGGCAGGAGGATCGTCTGAGCCCAGGAGGCAGAGGCTGCAGTGAGCCGAAATTGCACCATCACACTCTAGAGCCTGGGAGACAGAGTGAGACCTTGTCTCAAGAAAAAGAAAAGAGAAGAAAAGGGAAGGAAGGAAGGAATGCAGGGAGGGAGGGATGGATTATAGTCAGTAAACAAAAATCATCCTGGAAAGAACACTCCATGACTAGATGGCTTCTCTAGAAAGTGAATCCAACATTCAACAAGACACTTCTGTGAAGATGAAAAGGAAGCAGTAAGTCAATCTTACAAATACAGTGTAAACATCGTATACAAAATGTGATCACACTCAATCCAATAATATTTTTTAAAGCGATCAAACATGATTAAGATGAATTTATGATGGGAATGCAAACATGATTTAATGTATGAAAATCGATTTATGTAATCCACTTCATTAATAAATCAAGAGAAACACAAAAGAATATACTGATGACTCCCCTTGGATAAAGTTCCATCACAGGCAAAACTGAACTACATTGATTGGGGATGCATTCTTACATGGTAAAATTAAAAAGAAAAGGACAGTATTATTTCAAAATATAGGATATTACCAAACACAGTGGCTCACACTTATAAGCCCAGCACTCTGGGAGACCAAGGCAGGAGGATCACGTGAGGCCAGGAGTTCAAGATCAGCCTAGGCAACACATGGAAACCCCATCTCTACAAAAAATTAAAAACTCAGCGAGGCATGCTGGTGTGCACCTGTGGTGTCAGCTGCTCAGCAGGCTAAGGCGGGAGGACTGTTTGAACCTGGGAGTTCAAGGCTGCAGTGAGCCATAATCCTGCCACTGCACTCCAGCCTGAGTGACAGAGTGAGACACTGTCTCAAAAACAAACAAAAAGGCCAGCACGATGGCTCACACCTGTAAGCCCAGCACTTTGGGAGACAGAGGCGGAAGGATCGCTTGAGCCCAAGAGTTCAAGAACAGCCTGGGCAACACAGGGAGACACCATCTCTATAAAAAGTAAACAAAATTAGCCAGGAGTGGTGGCTCATGTCTGTAATCCCAACTGCTCTGGAAGCTGCAGTGGGAGGATCACCTATGCCTAGGAAGTTGAGACTGCAGAGAACTGTGATCACACCACTGCATTCTGGCCTGGGCCACAGAGCAAAACATTGTCTCAAAATAATAATAATTATAATTAATTATACACACACACACACACACACGTAGTATATATTAGATGTGTCATATGGATGAGGGGGAGTTATCATCAGGGAGGAGCATGAAGGAAACTGTGAGGTACACAGTGTCTATTTAACCTGGGTGAGAGTTACATGGACATGCAATTAAAATTATTCTCTTATATATGTGTCCATGTTCAAGAAAGGTATCTCACAATAAAAATGTATTAGAAAACAAATAATCAGGCAACAGAACAAAAAAAAATGCCAGCAATGACAACTGATTTTATACAATACTATCAATAACAATGGGACCAAGTAGCTGCTGTATGATCAACCATATGAAACAACTAACCAACCACTGCAACCAGCTGTCTGCCTGCCACGGTCTCAGATAAGAGCTAAGGAACCACAGGTGCAGAAGAGCTATGAGATTATGCGAAAAGGCAACTAGAAACTTTATATTCCTCACACAAAAAAGAGAGACTGAGGAGACTACATTCAAGGAGATCGTGGTTGGAGGTGCTAAGAGGCAAGCTCGCAAGCTACGGCCAAGAGTTTCAACCTGTGCCGTTTTCTCCATTTGCCTTGAGCCATCCTGCGAAACTGGTGGGGAGTGAGCCACCTGAAAGGGTGGATGGGGAAAGGGAAGTACTGTGGGATAGGCAGCTCTGCACGTCTCCCACCTCCGCCCACTGACATGCCAGGGGCCAGCAGCTCATCTTCAACCCCAGCACCACCACCTTTCCAGAGCTTTCTCTGGGTGACTGCTCCTAGTCGCAGGAAATCCTCTTCTGAAAATAGCATGACTCCAAATTTGTCAAGCTGAAGGGGTTTCCACAATGGGTTTATACCCCACTATCTCCTAACAAAGGGAAATGCCAGTGCCACAGCAATGCTATGAAAAGAGGGACCACTGAGGATTTAACATGCCTTGTACCAACAGCAAGTACACTGCAAGTTGTATTAAAACACATTTATCATTCACAGCACTTGATGGATTTGCTGTGCCAGTAATAATCATATTGATTAAACGAAGCAACTGTTTCCTTTTAAAGTGATATTTATCATTATAATTTAATTAGACTGTGGAAATTGAGGCTCTGCTCTGCCAAAAACTAAGTACTCTCATTTTCTACCTCGCATAAAGCCAAGACTATGCACGCGTGTGCAGTTAAACACATATGGGCAACTGATGAGATTTCACTGTTTCGAGACAGTAATTACTGCAGCAAGTACAGAGGCATGATATGCTCGTGGCAAGTAAAGTACAGGTCAAGAGAAAGTAATCAACTGGAGGCTGCTACGGCAAAGAAGCCTTCTTCCTAATTTTTGACAGTAGCTGCCATTTGAAGTGCTTTATTAGTCCTAAGAATTAGTAGCAACAATGGGGAACAAAAAGTTGATGGCCCGAGAGGAGGGGATACAGCTGGGAAAACAGCCTTGAACATGCTGGAAAAGTCAAACACACCATATACGTACAGAAAACAACGGCTAAAGGAGATACAAACAGTTAGTAAACAGGTAAACTAAGAATGACCAATTGGACTTGGCAGGACAGGGAAGCAGAGAGACCCTCCAGAAATAATAGCTATAATGACTAACGCTAAAAGCTCAGTGGACAGGTTTTAGCAGCATATTAGACACAGTTAAAGAGAAAATGGCCAAACTGGGCAGTAGAACCGAAGCAATAACCCAGAAAGCAGTGCAGAGACACACGAGAGACAGAAAGTACCAAAAGCATGGGAGCTCTCACAGAAACAGATTCGGCCAACTAACCCGCAGCAGAATAAATACAAATAAGCATGAACCCAGACACAGCACAGAGAAATGATGCGGGAGCACAGGGGGACAGTCAGGCTGAGAGCGGATGCCCAGGGCCCAGGGAAGAGACCAGTAGTGGAGCAGGATGAGATCTTCAATGTGCAGACGGGAAAGTAAACTCCCCACCTAACAACAGTCTTTCCACAATAAGAATAAAGATGTTTTCACACAAATCACACCTGAGATAGTTAATCCTAAGGGACACATTCCAGAAGAACTGTGCTCTTGTAGAGAAAGAATATGTAGCAAAAAAGAGTGGCTATAAAAGGAAGCAGCATGTGAAAGCACTGGCTGAATAAAGGAAAAGCACAAAGCTTACACATACCGTTCCAGCGAACAAAAAAACAGGGAACATCCCCCACTCGTTTTACGAGCCCAGTATAATCTCGGTAGTAAAATCTGTCAAGAATGTGCCAGACATGAACTATCAGCGGCTTTTACAAATGTAGACACAAAAATCATAACAAAATTAGCATATTTAAATCCAGGGACATATAAAAGACAGTAGGTCACACCTGAGTTGAATACACACATACCAAGAATACACAGCTGGCTTCAGATGTGAGAATCGATCAACGCACTGAACAGCGACATTTCTATTCAAGGGTTCTTTAACTTAGATTTCTCAATCATTCAAACTGGTATTTTTGTAAATTTCCATTAGTAGAATAAACCTCACGCTGTTCTCAAAATATACACTACCTGTGGAAGATAAAAAAATGGAGGATAAAGAAAGCTGATAAAATGAAAACAAACATTGTCGCCAATAATGAAAGTAAAGGCCCAGCACACACAGCTTCTCCACATTCCTGCCCTTGCTGGAGGAAGACAATAAGCTCGGAAGTTGCCCCCAGAGCAATGCGGTGGCAGGGGTGGTGTCCTCAGAGGGTCCTAGTGTGTCCGTGATAAGGCCATCATGAACAGAACCAAAGAAGGCAAAAGGGAGACATCTGGCCTTCGCAGGCTTCCTTAGAGTGTTTTCCACACCTGTGAGGATCCTGAGCGAGTGCCAGGAGGAGACGGAAGAAGTGCAGCTTCACACTCCTCTCCAGAGCAGGCATTCAATCGACAGTTCACGAATGGGCTTCAGGAAGACAATGAGAAGTGTGAAATCATATATGAAATGATGCGTTCATATGCACAGATGAATTTTTCTAACGAAAATGTAAATGGATTTAATCAGATATTCAAAAGAACCCAATACCCCACAAGTGTGCCAACATCTGACATGCAAACTTGTCCGTGCGGTAGAGGCCAAAGACAGCCCTCACCATGGGCTGTGAGATGACCCAAAACCCAATCCTTTCTTTGGCACTTCACCAACAAAATTTCATAGCCTTTCTTTTCTCAGTGCAACTAAGGGCTAGTCCATGGTAACCTACGAAGTGAATTATTACGGGGCACTAAAATTTAAGATTTATAACCTAAACCTGAGGTGTTACTAGGCTTTATAGAGGTCTAGTTCAGTATCAAGAAGGGAGGCTCCTGTGCAGAGCTGCAAAGCTTGGTAATGCGCCCACGTGGGGGCCACAAAGTCCTCATCCTCAGAAACAGCATTTCGTGCGTTACCAATGACAGCTTTATTTATAATGGATTTCAATTACCAACACTCTTGCTTTTATCATTTCGATGTCCATTTTCTCATGTTCACAGCAGTTTAATGTGGGCTGTCTGGGTATATACCACGATGACAATTCATAGTTTCAGGAGCCATGATTTTTCAACAACTTATAAGTACCCTAAGTCATCTCCGTCTTTATTTCGAAACAGATGTATAGAACCTCCTCTAAATTCTGATGCAGCAGTAACATTTTATTTGTTGGTGATGTGCTGATTAAGAGTATATGAAATTTAACTAACTTGCAACACACCATCAAGGCAAGTGTAACAAAGTTACCCAGCTATTTTTAAGTTTATGGCCACACTCTTACATAGTAAAGAACAACACGTCTCATAAGAACTTCTGTATCAAAAGTACCTAAACTGGTTCATTTAATTTCATCCCGATTCTTTGATAATGTTGAGTGATATTTCCACTGGAGAGCAAGAACAGCTACTGGTAAAGGTGACCAAGGCACTAATTTTGCCACTGAGAGTGATCTAAAAAGGCTTTTAGGCTAGGCACAGTGGTGTGCTCAGCACTTTGGGAGGCCAAGGTGGGAGGATGGCTTGAGCCTAGGAGTTCGAGACCAGTCTGGGCAACACGGCAAGACCCCACCTCTACAAAAAATTTAAAAATTAATCAGTCAATGTGGCACGTGACTGTGGTCCAAGCTACTCAAGAGGCTGATAACAGGAGTATTGCTTGAGCCCAGAAGGTGGAGGCTGCAGTGAGCCACGATCACACTACTGCACTTCACCCTGGGTGACAGAGCGAGACCCTGCCTCTAAATTAATTAATTAAAAGGGCTTTTAATTAAAAATGGTGATAAAGTACACCATATCTTCTCTCCATTCTTCCCAGAGCTCTGTTAAAATGTCAGAAAAGGTACTTTTTGGTGGTGAATGAACCATAATAGTGCACGGTGCTAAAAATTTACAGAGGGATTTAGCAGAACACAAGAAAGCCTGCCAGGGCTTTTAGGGCATAAGGCAGACGAAAGCAGGTTGATGCGAGAGAGCAGAGGAAACTGCAGAGCAAGACAACAGAGGTGAGGGGTCTTCCCAAGAAGCAGGAGCCATAGGGAACGCTTTTATTCCTGGGCTGAAACCTGAGAATCGCTCTCCAAAGAAAGCCTGAGGTTTTCTAAGGGGTGATCCCAATATGGGCACGCGGGCTGGAAGAGAAGCAGATCCGGGTTTAGGGTAACGAAAAATCAAACCGTCAGGACATGAAGCCCAGGGAGGGAGAGAAGGAGAGAGTAGAAGATGTTTACCTGCAGTAGAACAAGGATCAAACGGATATCCAACTTCTCATTACCAACACTAGACTCTGGAAAATAATAGAGAATATTTTCTGATTTCAAAAGGAAAATTATACGATCCTAGAATTCTAGACCCTACCAAATTATCAATAAGTATGAGAACAAAGTAATTGCATGTTTGAACATTACGTGCAAAAACCCAAGAAGTCTGTCAGCCATCCATTCTATAAGGAAGTGAATTAAGAAGTCTGTCAGCCATCCATTCTATAAGGAAGTGAATTAAGAAGTCTGTCAGCCATCCATTCTATAAGGAAGTGGATTAAGGAGGTGCTCCAGCAAAACAAAAATAGAATCCAAGAAACCAACACCATGGGATAGGAGAAACCATGGCAACTGAGGCAGCTAGAAACAGCGGACACCTAAAGAGAAACTGGGAGTTCCATCTGAATATTCTCCTTTTATTGGCAAAGGTTTGGTGAGGCAGAATTACATTTCATACCACTTGGTTCTATGGCAAAATATACTATCATAATACTATAAATGTTACTTTTCTTATATTAAAATGTTTAGACTACACTTGCAGGAAAAGCACAGGGAGCCTAATGATAGATGGGAAACACTACAAATGTTTTAAGCCTTGTCAATATAAATCTCATCAAAACTCAGAGTGTGAAGGCACTGTTGACTTCCACATGAACTCACAAACAGAAAAGTTAAAGCTATAATGGTGACTACAAGAAGAACTTAAGAGAAGAAAACACAAACTGTACATTGTTTACCTCTGGAAACGGGGCATGGGGTGGGGAGGGAGAAAGAGGAAATCTCCAACTTAATTTATACCCATTCATGAGCTGCAATGTGTTTTTTACCATGTGCTGGTATTACTTCCATTTTTTAAAATAGTTACATTAAAAGGGCCCCCTTATCAATAGCTGATCCATTAAATAACTGCAGTACATCTATAGGACAGAATAATATGTTCTTGTAACAAGTGAAGTAGCATGAGCATTGCGTTAGTTATATAAAGTCAGAATTTTAAAGAAGCTTTTTTTTTTTTAACTGTGAAAGAACAAAGATAAAGTGTCACAGTCCTACGAAGAGAACGGCACTACCTGTACTGACATGCAGGATGTGACGGGACAGCTGCGTTATAGAGAGATGTGCACAGAAAACCCCTGTGTATCTCAGAAATCCCATATACATAACAGAAACTCCTCATCTATTATATATGCCAGAATCCAGTGCTGACACAAACTAGTGGGTACGTACCCTTCCATATTTTTCCTATGTACACACACACAACATTTTGTAAGCCTAAAAAGCTGGCACAAAAAGCAAACCAACTTCACAAGGACAAGCCAGAGAGTCCTTGGGGGATGTCCTCCCAGGAAACTCAAAACAGCAGCGGCTAGGTCTCCCTGGAGAAGGAGGCTGGGAAGAGCATCTGATAGAACTGCTCCCTTCATCCTTCGAGGGAGCAATCCAGGAAATGCAAGGCTGTCTACTTCACATGGTTTCCTGAGGATATGGGTAGAAAACATTTCCAGTAAAAGCTTTACTAAAATGTTATACAGTGAAAATTAAAATACAAACCATTCCTCCATGCGCCAGTGTCATCTGCTAATTTGTACAACATCTTGTTTCAATGACCTGAGAGGCCTACACAAATAGGTAGAGTAACCACAGTATATCAATTATGCTGAGAAAAGAAAAAAAAAACATATACATGAAAAAAGACACAGATATTGTTTGGCCATGTCCCCACTCAAATCTCATCTTCAATTGTAGTTCCCATAATCCCCACGTGCTGTGGGAGGGACCCAGTGGGAGGTAATTGTATCATGGGGGCAGTTACCCTCATGCTGTTTTCGTGATAGTGAGTGAGTTCTCACGGGATCTGACGGCTTTGTAAGGGGCTTTTCCCCATTTTGCTGGACACTTCTCCTTGCTGTTGCCATGTGAAGAATGATGTGTTTGCTTCCCCTTCCACCATGATTGTAAGTTTCCTGAGGCCTTCTCAGTCATGCTGAACTGTGAGTCTGTTAAACCTTTTTCCTTCATAAATCACCCAGTCTTTGGTATGTCTTTATTAGCAGTATGAGAACACACTAATACAGATACAAAGGAAACATACAAAATAATAACAAAAGTTGCTTCTATGCAAAGGGACTAATATGTCTCTTCCTAGTTTTGCATTTCTGCAAAGTCTGCACAGTCTGTAATAAGCATACTGTTTCTAAATAAAAAATTAAATCTTTCAGAAGAAGCTTGGCAATGTAGAGTTTTCTCCAAAGACTTAGCAGCCGAGGCAAGGGAAGGCACGCAGGGGTGCTGCTGCGCAGCAAGCACAGGCGCAGGCCCTACCCAGGCCAGCCCCACCCTGGGGCTGAAGATGGAGAAAAGGCCAATTCCAAGACTGATCCTGTTCAGAAGACAAAAATGAGCTCAAGCAGCTGTTCCTGCCACTGTAACCTGAGGAATTTCGCCCTGGGGACACTGAGAGAGGCACAGCAGATACCACCTTAATCAGCATCCCCGAAAGCACTTACCTTTTCACCCCAGGATGACCCAACCTTGCACAAAGGACTTAGTCTGCACTCAGCAAGAATGCAACATACAGTTCCTTATGGAAAGAGGATGGATGACGAGGGTGAAATCAGTTAATTAACAAATATGTATCTCTTCAGCATTTTGCTTTGCAGGGGGAAGAAATACCCTTAAAAGATGAGCAAGCATCCCTACTATTTAATGTGGTGACATCATGGCCCCAGATTTTAGGTGAGACACTAACTCCCCTTGACCCACAATACCACGTGTTATGTAACAGCACCAGAAACTCACACATTTGAACTTTAGAGCAAGTGAATAATTCCTTACATGCATTATAGATGAAAGAAGAAAAACCATACGACTTCTGCAAGAGTCCTTGGGTTTAATGGACACAAATTTTAAAAGCTACCTCAACTATTAAGTTTAAATAGTAAACATGTTAAACATTTACATAGTAAACATCCTTTAAAACCCAAGGATGCAGAAAAAGGGGAAGAGATTATGCTGAAGTCAAAAGATGTATACCTATAAGAAATCAGTGATCTGGCTGCTAATTTGACTGGGATGTAAATGGCATCTGATGATACAGACAATCTAACTGGGTTTCTTATTCCTTGCTCTGTCAGGGACAAGTTGAGTGATCCAGAGACATCGCCCTGACCGGCTAATGCCCCGTGAGGAAGCAGGTGCACTGCTGAACCAATTCAGCAGACAGCTTTCCCATCACAGCAGCCCAGCATTCACTCACTCTGTGACCCAGACTGAACCAACTCAGCAGAGAGCTTTCCCATCACAGCGGCTCAGCATTCACTCACTCTGTGACTCACAGACGGTCACTGGCACCAAAGCAGACCACCTCCTCATGCCCACCAACCAATGAGGTCAAACATCCAAAACCATGTATTTCTGCATTTCTGGGGTAAAGGAATAGACTAATTTCAAATATTGTTTGTCACTGGAAGTTTGGTCGCCTTAAAATCTTCCCTGGGCCCTTAACAAAGCAAGAGGCTCACAAAGCCTGTCTGTGAGTGGATACATGACTTGAAAAAGTGTATTCCCAAAAGATCATGCCACTTTGCTGTTGTTTCAAATAAAAGCTCTCCAATCCATTCCCCATATCCAGCTCTCTACAGGTCAGTGCGAGCCCATGACCAGGATTATGAACACAGAGTTGGCAGTTTGCCTGCTTGAAGATCCAGCAATGCAGCCCCCTGGCTCTGAGGCTACTGTCACCCTGCAGCATCTCAAGCGTTCCCTCTGGCAGGAGAAGGTTAGTAACAGTGCCTGCTGCAGATGGCTGCAGCAAAGGCTGAATAAAATAATGCAGAAAAAGAACTCAGCACAGTTCCTGCATGGAGGAAGAACTCAATAAATGTTAGCTATTACTGGAGGTGATGATGACAATGTTAAGGTGACGATGACAACCTCAACAACGTTATTAATAGCAACCAAATTACTGAGCCAATGGGAGAGCCAGATAAGCTCTTAAGCAATAAAAATTAAGTGATGTTGAATATTTTTTAATGTTTGTTTCAGTATAGTCGGACCTTTAAAAACACATTCAGCCTAAGCCTCGAGACTCTGCAAAAGCAAAGCCCTCCCCTGACCCTGGCATCCACCACACAGGCTACGCACCTGCCCGGGATGACGGATGGGCCTGAGCATCAAGGCTTTATGAACAAAAACACCAAGGCACCACTCTGAGAGGGTGCTGGGGTTATCTGCGGTCTCTGTGGACAAGTATGTCACAATGGTGCTTGGATATCTTCCTGAGTTCAGCAATGTGAATGGGGATACATGTGTCCTGACTTGACACAGCTGATAAGCCATGCTTCCTTTCTGTTACTATCCATGTCTTATCTATGACTCCATCTAAAAGCTGGTAAGCCTTTTAAAGGGTAGGAGCCAAAACAACCTCCAAGCCTTCCCTGGTGTAAGCCACCGCCTAATATCAGAATGTGCTGGATATGTAGTTTTGGTTTAGGATGGCAACCTCTGATTGGTATGTAGAGTATGTCTACTAAGCATAATATTTATTAAAAGAACACTTAATGCCACATATGTGTTAGATGGCATGGCTTTCCTCAATTTATAAAAGAATTCTGGTGCTTTAACAGGTGCTCAAACATATTTTTAACTAACTGAATTATAAATTTTCTTATACGTGCTATTCATAACAGCAGACTGCTTGCAAAAGTAAAAGCTACTTGTGACTTCCAGTTTGAAATATCTGAAACATTCAGAAAGCAGCTGAGCTAAAACTGATCTCCGCACTTGTCCAAGAGGGGTCACTGGGCTGCAGCTGTGTTCATTCATTGTAAGGGCTCCCGAAACACCGACCAATACTGAAGAACCCTCATGTGCTGCACAGGCTCCTCTGGGCAGGGCTGCTCAAGTATCAGAGAGCTCGGCCAGGTCCAACTCTCAGGGCAGCTTCCTAGTGGCTGTTAACAGGTGACGCTGTACAGACACTCCCTTTCAGGATGCTTTAAAAAACAGACAAGGAGAGAGTTCAGAGTAAACTGAAAAACTCACATGTCAACATATATATATATATACACACACACACACACACACACACACATATATACACACACACACATATATATATATACACACACACACATATATATATATAGTTTTGTTTTGTTTTGTTTTTGAGACAGAGTCTTGCTCTGTCGCCCAGGCTGGAGTACAGTGGCACGATCTTAGCTCACTGCAACCTCCACCTCCTGTGTTCAAGCAATTCTCCTGCCTCAGCCTCCCGAGTAGCTGGGACTACAGGTGTGCAACACCACGCCTGGCTAATTTTTGTATTATTAGTAGAGATGGGGTTTCACCATGTTGGCCAGGCTGGTCTCGAACTCCTGACCTTGTGATCCACCCACCTCGGCCTCCCAAAGTGCTGGAATTACAGGCGTGAGCCACCGAGCCTGGCCATTTCAACCAATATTTTAAAATTCACTATCACATTTTAGTCCCCAAAATATCCCTAGGAAAGGCGTGCAAGCAAGGCAAGTAGATTTCCCTTTTCACAGACAAATAAAACTCAACTAAGTTTAGTCAATGAGTGAAATACTTCTTAAACATTCTGCCTCCCAACTCCAGCCATCTTCCTATGACTACCCACATGGCCCCAGCACCCCTTAGGGCCTGTGTACACAGGACACACGTGGCCCCTCACAACTCACAGAGGGGCATCCTCCCTATGACACTCTCCATCTTTGAGATCATAACTCTGGGGATCATGACCTGATCTCCCCAGAACTTCCTCGTTATCACATGTCATCTTGGGGTCATTAATAATTGCAGGCCCTTTCACTCTCAAAAGTGTCCCTGTTCAAGCAGTAAATCAGTAAATCACATGTTCACCTATTTTATAACACAAGCCTACATCCCCCAAATGGGAAGTGGGACCAAAGGTCTGCAGAGGCTGCCAGCTCCTCACACCAGGGCAGACTGACCAAGAGGAATGTGGGTGACTCAGGACCATCCCTGCTTTATTTCCACCCAACTGCATTTAGAACAGAAGCCGAATCTCACCATGCAACTCTACACAGAGATACACACCGAGAGGAAGGCTCACCCCCGACCCCAAGCCCTGGCCCCAGCCCAGAAAGTCCAGGGAAGAGAAGAGGGAAGGGTTATGAGGAGCCCCAGGGATAGGGGAAGTCCACCAAGGGCCTTGTGTGCATGTCTAGGCAACCTTCACTCATCTATAGCAGATATGAAGTCCCTGTGCCTCTTTACACCGAATAAAAAAGGCAATTCCAGAAAAGACACCTGAGCTAGACTCAAAAATGATGAGTCAATTTCTATCATTTTCAGGGGGAAAACCAGTATTTTCTTGAAGAAGGATGTAGGCAAGACATGAGGTGTGCAGAGACACCATTCCCATACCTGCTCCTTCCCTGATGACAGAGGCTGTAGCTGGGCACTTTGGGAGGCATCTCAGAGAGTCCAGAATTCCATGAAATGTAACAAAAGCTCAATCTCACTAGTAAGCAGGTCCATGAGAATCAAAACTACAGAAAAATACCACACACACCTGCCCAGAATGGTAAAAATTAAGAAGACAGAAACTTCCAAAGCAGTTGATGCCACATGGGGAGTGTGGTGAAAGCAGGCAGTTGAGTGCCCAACCAGGCACCATGCCAGCATCACCCACTCACGCTGAAGTGCGTGTGCTCACAGCCAGCCCATCCACCCCAGCAACACCTGTGCTTCTTTACCAAAACACATGTATCAGTATGGTCAGAACAGTTTTGCTTATAATGGCCCCAAACTGGAAACCGTCTAACTATCCATCGTCAGCAGAATGAATATATGATATGGTCAAACAGCAGAGTACTATGTACAGCAGTAAAAACGAACAGGCAACAACACAGGCAAGTCTCATCACACATGTAATACTGAACAAAAGAAAACACACAAAAACACATCCTTTGACTGCATTTATATAGTTAAAAAATAGGCTAAGCATAGGACTTTAAGGGCAATGAAACAATTCTGCATACTGTAAGGATGGATCCATATCGTCATAAATGTGTACAAACCCATAGAACGTCCAACACTAAGAGTGCACCCTCATGGAAACCATGAACTCTGGGTAATGAGGTGTCAACATGGGGTCATCAACTGTAACAAATACACGGCTCCGGATACGGATGTTGATAATGGGGGAGGCTGTGCCTGTGTGGGGGCAGGGGGCATACGGGAAATCTTTGTACCTGTCCCTCAATTTTGCTGTAAATATAAAACTGCTCTAAAAAATAAAGTTTATTAAAACGTTAAAAACAAACAAACAGGCACGCCCAAACAAACAGGTTGCAGGATACAAGCTCAAGTGACAAACCTGTCACCCACAGAGGTCAGTGGCAGGCACCCACGCCAACAGGAGGAGCCTGAGGAAGCCTTCAGGGACTGCAGCGCTCCGTGTGCTGGCCTGGGTGGAAGGCACAGCCTGGCGGGCTCTGCAATGCTTCACTCAGCTGCGCCTTCCTCTTGTGCGCTTTCCTGCTTGCGTAACGCTTCTCAACAACACAGGTAGACCCTGATTGTCTTCCAAGTCACTGCTGATGAGCTGAGAGACGAAGGAGCACCCCAGCCCTCTCGACCTGAGCTCTCACTAGCACCATCCCCTCACAGAGCAGAGAATGGGAAAGGGATGAGTGTCCCAAGAGGATGGACAGATGGGCAGAGCTCAGCACAGCACTCAGGAGTACCTTCCAGCAGGTAAAAACTGACAGAGATGCGCCCACTGCATTTAGGAAGCAGCACAAGAATCTTGGCTTTCTGTCCATGAGATCTGATTAAAATGTTTATTAGTTTTTAAAATAATGGTAAAAAACTAATTACCCAATCAAAATAAATGAATCCTGACAGCAACTATAACTAGAAATATTTAAAGAGCCATAAATGCTAGCAAGTCCTTGAATATTACAATTTCCAAAAGGATTGACACATGCTTAAATAGATTAGGTTTATTAATCAAACTGTTCTAGGTGAGGAGTTTAACCTCCTAGGAATTAAAATACATCATTGTCAGTAGCAATTGTTTAGTTCAATTCCTGCAGAAAAAGGTAAGTGAAAAACAAAGGGCAAACAAATTCTCCACACCCCCGCCTCACTGGCTCTTTGACAACGCGGTCCCCAAGTCACCACACCCAGGTAGAGACTTGCCGGATGGTCAAGAAAACACAGCCATTACTTGGCACAGAAATGTACTGGTTTTCAAATTCGTGGGAAATAAGAAACTAATTATTTCATAGAATAAACAGATGAACATTTTAAGGTTTGTTTCGTGAATGGAAAACGCTAAACATGCTACCCTGAGGTTATCTCCACCTCTTTCCAAGCATGACTGAAAATGGTTTCTCCTCAAGGAAGAAAATTATGCAGAGGAAAGAGTCTCACATTTTCTTCTCAAAATGTGGAAGTGAAAAGGTCAAGTAAAAATAAATACAAAGTAAACTGACTAATTTGAGCTTCCTTCCTCCCTGCACCCAGCTAATAGAGCAGAATGTTAAAAATAAAAGTGGTCAGAATTTTTCAGAGCGAGGACTGTGAGGTAAAAATAGATGCTCACACCGCACTTGCAGCTGAAGCGTGACTAGAGGCAGCCCCCACGCTACTTGTGGCTTTCCACTAATGTCTATAGCGACAAAAAGAGAGAGAAAGGCGCCTCCCAGTGTGGCTGAAAACCACATACTGACGTACAACCGCACACAGAAAGTTTTCAAAGGAAAATTTCAGGAGCAAATACATGATTTTTGCTTAAAACCAGCGTGATTTGGCTTCTCTATCACCAAAAGCATCCAGAAAGAGGGGCATCAAGACGTTGGTTTTAATAGTAAACCTGGAAACAACCAAAAGGTGCATTGCTAGGTTATAAAATACCAAAGCCCGTCCATTTATTCTTCAACAAGTATTTGAGGGCCTTCTACATGCCAGGAGGATGGGACAAAAACAAAAGTCTCCATCTACACGGAGCCTCCAGTCCTGGGGGGGCGCAGAGCCCCGTGCGCTGACATCAGGAAGTGGTGACGCAGGCGACGCAGAAAAAACCAACCAGCCTCCAGACTGATAAGGAAAGGTGGATACTTTTCCACCTGTTGACCAAGCCATTAAAATCCAGGTCACAGAAAAACAGCCTACAAAATGGGAAACTGCTCCTGACTCGTTAAACGAAAGCATTCATGACAACTCGGTGGTGCCACAGGACTCATGGGGACACACACGTGCACACACATATACGCACACGCGCGCACACACGTGCACACACATATATGCACAAGCGCGCACACGCGCGCAGTGCACACACATACGCACACGCGCGCACACACATATACACACAAGCGCGCACACACGCGCGCAAACACACGTGCACACACATATACGCACACGCGCGCACACACATATACGCACACGCGCGCACACACACACGCATACAGGAGGAGGCAGCAGCGCAGACTGGTGATTCCCGCATGAACCCCAGAGCCTGGTCTGGTCCTAGCTCTGTAGCTGAGAGCTGTGCCATCCTCAGCAAGGACTTACTCAGTCCTTTTGCCTCTGCTGATTCAGCCCCAAAAGTAGAGTCCTAGCAATGCCACCTCCTTCAGGTGTGTTTGCAGGGCCCTGCTCAAGTGACCCAACTTCTGCCTGGCTTGGCCTGGGCTGCAATCACACAGCCTTCAAAGACAGAATGCTATCCTAACTAAATTCTGTGTTTAATCTGTATCAGGTACCTTCCAGCCATGTGACTTATGAAATCCATAATGAATACAGAGCCATCCTAAGAATATCAGGTACCTTCCAGCCATGTGACTTATGAAATCCATAATGAATACAGAGCCATCCTAAGAAAAAAGGTCGAAGTGTGGAAACTACCTAAATTTAACAAGCCCTAGGTGTGTTACCTAAATTTAAACCCCTAGGTTTAGGGATGTGGGTGTGGTGGTTGGAAGGAAGGAGAAACAGCCTAGAATAATCCACAGTAGAGCGGGGGCATCCTGGCAGCCTGTGCATGCAGGTGCATAAGAATTTGGTACCTGCTTCCTAGGAAATCTAGGGAGAGTTAGTGCTGCTTTTGTTATAAAGTCTATTTCAAAGCACACTGAGAATAAATTTAGAAGTTAACAATCATAAACTTTAATGCTCTTTTAAGCTGAAAAGGCAACTGCCTCTTCACCTTTATTTAATACACCATTTCCAATTAAGCACGTACATGAGAAATAGCAACATTATTAGAAATAGCTATCAAGTGAGACTTTTGATTATTTGCACATCTGTAAGAAATGGTATCTTGGTAAAGTGTATGGGCCATGTTTATGTACGTGTATATGTGCATATGTGTCTGTTCATACCTTTTTCCCATTTTCCTAGAATTTCGGGTTTCTTCTCCCTCAACTTTTAAAACATTTATGATATGCTACAAAGGTTTTCACACAATTGGTATTTTTGTCTTTTGACCTTATTGTGTTTTTCTGTTTTGTTTTTGGTCAGGCAAAGTTGTTACTTTTTTTTTGAGACAGGGTCTCGCTCTGTCACCGAGGCTGGAGTGGCACCATCATGGCTCATTGCAACCTTAACCTCCTGGGCTCAAGTGATCCTCCCACCTCAGCCTCCCAAGTAGCTGGGACTACAGGTGTGTGCCACCACACCCAAATTATTTTTGTATTTTTTGTAAAAATAGGTTTTGCCATGTTGCCCAGGCTGGTCGCAGTATTTTGGAATGCAGTCAAATTCATCCATCTTTTCTTTGTTGAAGCTGAATTTTGAGTTACGCCTTTAAAAAAGCCTTTCCCAACACATAGGTAATATTCAACCATGTTTGTGTCTAACATTGGAACAGTTGCCTTTTTCACACTGAGTTCTCTGACCCACTTGCAGCCTATTTTTGCATGTGGTGTAAGCTATAAATCCTAATGATGTATTTTACAAAATGGAGTCCAATTGTCCCAAGAACGTTGACTCTAACAATCTATCTTTGACCCAACAATCTGAGATACTATCTTTATCATATACTAGATTTCCATCTATATATGGGCTTATTTCCTCCATTGGTCTGTCTGGTTCTTCATGCAACCTTGCCACACTATTTTCCATATAGCCTTTGTAGTATGTTTTAATATCTAGTAGAGCTATTCTCCTTTTCTTGGCTCTTTCTTTTCTAAGTTTTCTAGGTATTCATGCTATTTCAATTTTAGAATCGACATGTCCAGCCCAAGAAAAAAAAGCTGAGTCTTTTTGCTTTCAAATATTAGCATCACATTAAATTTGAAAATTACCTGACAACTGACATCTTAATGAGCCAAGCCATCTTAACCGAGAACAAGGTGTCTTCACCTGCTCAAGGCGACTTCTGTGTCTTTCTCAACTTATTGTTTTCTTCACTTAGCTTTTGAACAGTTCTCATTACATTTATTCCTAAATATTTTCTCGTTGTTGCTATTGTTAATGGGGTTGTCTCTTCCATAATATCTTCTGATTATTTTTGTATATATGAATAACATTGACGTTTGCATATTAATTTTGTATTTCTACTGGACAGGACTGCTCTAGGGTTTTCCAGATACTCCCAAAAGAGGTAGTTTTATTTCTTCTTTTCCACATGGTATGCCTTTGTTTTTTCTTTCCTTTACTCAACATAGCCAGTGGGTACCTCAGGATTCCTCCATATTGACTAATGAAACTGCACATCTGTGCTTTGTGCAGCCTCTTCCTGCCTTGCCACAAGCCCTGCTCTGACGCACTCAACTCCAGCACTTATTCCTTGCTTTGGGGAGATACAACTGACACAGAGAAGAGACAAATTTGCACCCCAAAAGTGCATCCAGCCGTATTTGTTCTCAACAATACCTTCTTTACCTTTCTGGCTCTTGTTTAACTATAGTTAAGTTAAATTTGTGTACCTCCCACTGGAAGGACCCTATCATAGATAGCACTAAAAATGGTTTATTAAAGTAAAGTGAGCTAAATATTTTAAGTTGCTCGGAAGTTCCCAAGTCACTCATCCGGAGAGTAAGAGAAAAGGGGGACAGCTAAAAGCCCCAAGGCCTGTGGCTCCCCAGAGTTCTCGTGGGTTTCCAAGCACAGACTCACGGCTAAGAAACGGAGTGCAGGCATCCCAGCATTTGGCCTAGCCACCCCCTCTCTCTCCAGGTCACGTATTTAGGATGGCCTTAGAGACATGATGATAAACACACTGAGAGCAAGGCTAAGTTAAGTGACAGATGATATCTGTACTTAATACACGAGTCTAGGTTGAAACATTAAACACAACCACAACCCACGCTGAACACAGAGGGCTTTGTTAAATATCATAAAAAGGCTTTAAACTCAGCAGGCAACATAGCCAAGTAGAGAAAGGACCTATAAAAAAAAAAAGCCTCCCACGGGATTTAACAAGCCTGCTCAAGATACAATTGCATTAAAGGCAAAGAAAGGAATACTGCTGTGGATGAGAAAACAAAGCAAACAGCTAAGAACAACTTCATCAGGTTGAGAAGCAAACAGTCCTAAAACACGACATGACATCAGGGTAGCTTGTTCTTACAAAAGAATTTCTGCACTAGATTGTTGGTATTCCTTTACAGTTGTTTTACAGAACAAAGACAACACTATCACTAGCAAAAAGCCTAAAAAAGCAAAGAAGCTGATTTCAGCCAAAATTCCTAGACATGGGTACACTATAAAAAAAGAACTCACTCAACAAGTTCATAAGCATAAAGACTGGACAGTGGTGAGCTTCTTGGAACTTCACCTCTACAGACAGACGAATCATGTTTCCAGTCCCCTATCTTCTTGCAACCAACAATACGTTTTCACGAAGGAAGCCAGTCCTTGAAATCATCTGCATACTGAGAAATACACTCATATATGTGTGTGTGTGCATGAAGCAAATTTAGTAAAGAACATAAAAGCAACACAATGTTAGAATGCTTTTAGCTTTAGTGTTCAAAATAATTCCTTATTTCCTTAGGGCACTTACGAGTTTTCTCTTTTAAAATATATTCAGTTAACTGTGATCTGAGAAGGAACAGATGAGGACCAGTCAGGAGCAGCTGAAGGAAACAGAGAAACCAGCCTTCCACCTCTTGTATCATACTTAGGCCAAAATGAAACCAATGCTTCTCTAGAAAATCATAAAATACACAAATATTAAAATACAAAGAAGCAGGCCGGGTGCAGTGGCTCATGCCTATAATCCCAGCACTTTAAGAGGCCAAGGCAGGCAGATCATCTGAGGGTCTGGAGTTCAAGACCAGCCTAGCCAACATGGTGAAACCTCATCTCTACTAAAAATACAAAAATTAGCCAGGTGTGGTGGCGGGCACCTGTAATCCCAGCTACTTGGGAGGCTGAGGCAGGAGAATTGCTTGACCCCAGGAGGTAGAGGTTTTGGTGAGCCAAGATCATGCCACTGCTCTCCAGCCTGGGTGACAGTGCCAGACTCCATCTAAAAAAACAAAACAAAACAAAACAAAACAAAACAAAACAACGAAGCAGCAACGATGCATGCTAAGCGTAACAGAAAAATCACCTGGGAAGTAAAGCCAAAGCTTCACATGCCATCCTTGTCTCCACTTTAACCCTGTTAGGTAAGTTTCTCCAACTCAACCTTTTTATCCAACTCTGTTCTCAGAACCTGGGTGCTTCATACTTGGGAGCATTTCCCCAAGGGAAGCACAGAGACTTTATATCAGTGTCATAAACATCTAGACCCCTTGTAGCCAGCAGGCACCCCAAGAAAACTTCAAAGAGCAGGTGTGGAGCTGCTCTGTGTGAGGCCACCCAGGACAGCAGGAAACATCTACGGCAGCATGGGCTGCCTGCCAGCGCCAGGGAAATTCCCTACTCCCCAGAGGGCACGCTTGCCACTGCTGACATTTCCCTGCTTCCAGCCCTTCACAGGGGCCCAGCAATGCTATGTCCATTTTATTTAGCCAAAACAGACCACCTCAACTTTGCTAGAGGTTATTGCTAGTAAGTATGATGGGAGTTTCATCTCAACCTTTGAAGATTCTGTTCTTGAGAAACACCTCCAGTTCTGGGTTCGTCCCTCATTCTTTGTATCTCCAAGCTGCAGCACGGCCTGTCCATGCCCTGACCCCCACTGTGTCTCCACTGACCCAATTCTTCCCTGCTCTTTCTTGGAACTCACTCTATCCCAGGAGTCCCCAGTCAAATGGGTACAGTAGCAACAGCCTCTCTTCCCTGACAATGCTCCTTTACAGCCTCCACTGCACAGGACAACTCCGGAATCCAAGCTGACAGCACCCGGACAGCACCTAACTCTTCACAGAAGTGACTGCAGCACATAAATATATCCCACTGCACCAAAACTAACCACAGCCATATCACAGATACCCAAGGCTGCCAGGCACAAGGAGACAGACAAGAAAGGGGAAGCCCAAGTGGAAGGAGAGGGTAGCAGGCCTACCCCGCTGAAGGGAACAGAACACACTTGTGAAAAAGTATACGAGCTAGCTGAACGCACTGCTCCAGGAGGGACCCCCCTCCCCAAAAGTGAACCCCTTGGAGATCAACCGTCACTGACCCCTGGGGCCTGGTTCGATAAGTGTGCCCTGACTACTCGGTTTTCAAAACCAAAGGATATACTGTGTAAGGGTAACAGACAGAGTTAAGAAATCAAAGAAAACTAGTGGAACCACTTACACAAAAGTCAGGATAATTATTTATTTGGAGCAGAAGATAAGGACACAAAAAAGTGTTTTTGAAAAAACACTTATTTTTAAAGTAAACGTTATTTTTAGAACAATTTTAGATTTGAAGAAAAATTGAGCAGATGTGACAGAAAGGCCCCACAGACCCCACACCCATTTTCTATTATTAAGATCTTACATGAGCATGGTTTAATACAGGAGTCCCAACCCCTGGGCCATGGACAAGTAACAGTCCATGACCTGTTAGGAACTGGGCTTCAGAGAATCAGTTCTTGCACTGATTCTGTCAGATCAGTGGCAGCATTAGATTCTCACAGGACTGGAACCCTATTGTGAACTGCGCATGTGAGGGGTCTAGGTTGCACATTCCTTATAAGAATCCAATGTCTGATGATCTGCCACTGTCTCCCCTTACCCCCGATGGGACCATCTAGTTGCAGGAAAACAAGCTCAGGGCTCCCACTGATTCTACATGATGCTGAGTTGTATGATTATTTCATTATATATTACAATGTAATCATGGAAAGAAAATGCACAATAAATGTAACGCGCTGGAATCATCCCCAAACCATTCTCCCAGCCCCCACCTCGGCCCATGGAAAAATTGTCACCAGTCCCTGGTGCCAAAAAGGTTGAGGACTGCTGGTTTAACGGACCAGTATTAATTAACACATTGTTATTAACTGAAATCCACACTTTCGTCAGATTCAGTCGTCCAGGATCCCACGTGACATTGAGATGTCATGGCTCCCTAGGCCCCTCTTGGCTGTGAGTTTCTCAGACTCTTCTTGGTTTTTGACTGTTGAGGAAGCTGTCCCTCAGCTGGGATCTGTCTGATGTTTTTCTCATGGTACAGGAAGGGACTGAGTTTGGGGATGAAGCCCCCAGAGGTGAAGGCCCACTGTCACTCCACTGTATCAGGCACACCCTGTCACCGTGACTGACCACTGTGAGGCTGACCTGGCCCCTGCTGGGTTGAGCCCCCCGCCCCACTTCCATGCTGTCCTCTCTGGAAGGAAGTTGCTCTGCACAGCCCTTGCCTTGGGGTAAGGGTTGTGCTCCACCTCCTGGAAGACACAGCAGATACAGCAGATGCAGAGATGATCTGGAATTGTGCTGGAAAAGGAGCTTTGTCTTTTCTCCTCATTTATCAGTCATTTATTTATGTCAGTCTGGACTCATGGATATTTATTTATCTCTGGGCTATAATCCAATACTACTTTGTTTTGTTGTAGAAACTGTTCCAGCTTTGGCCACTGGGAGCTCTTTCAGTTGGCTCCTGGGTCCCTTTGACACCACCCATTGATGTGGGTGTGGTTATGTTTGTTTCTCGGCATTTCCTTGCCATTTCCTTGGCATTCCTGGCACTTGTGTTATTTCCTGCCCAGTCCTAGAATCAGCTATTTCTCCAATAAAGAATGCTCACTCTATTTTTTATATGCTGTTTTATGGAACATGCAGCTACATGTTTAAAAAATATAGTTGTGGTTACAGCTGGTTTTGCTGACTTGAATCCATCCCCTTCTTTCTGACAACAGCACCCCAAATGTGCTGAGGAAAGTGCCTTCTCCCATTGAACTGCCTGCGTAATTACTTCCAAGAAATCAAAAATTATTTTAAACCCTTGTGCTGATAACAGACAGACACCAAGGTAAGGAAGATAATTATAGAAATTCTGATTTAGAATTAAAATAAGCACATTGGCCAGGCATGGTGGCTCACATCTGTAATCCCAGCAACTTGGGAGGCCGAAGAGGGAGGATCGCTTGACGCCAGGAGTTCAAGTCTAGCCTGGGCAACACAGCAAGACTCCGTCTCTACAAAAAATAAAAAAAGTTAGCTGGGTGTGGTAGTGCGCCTGTAGCCCCACAGTCCCAGCTACTCAGGAGGCTGAGGTGGGAGGATCACTTGAGCCTGGAAGTTGAGGCTGCAGTGAACCATGATTACCACTGCACTCCAGCCTGAGTAACAGAGTGAGACCCTGTCCCAAATAAATAAATAAGCACAAAATATGTTCACTTTAAAATAAACCATGTCTGGCAAAAGTATGTCCACCACTGTAACTACTGACCCCTTACACAATTTTAAGCAGCACTCATCTCCCACGTAATAGTCAGCAAGACTGGTGTGCTAACATACCCAGCATTCAAAAACTCCAAAAGCTTGTGTATTAAGTATACACTATCCAGAAAATTTCACATGCTTTCTGCTTCAGGAAAGAAATATTAAAGCTCTACGATGGTGAAGTTCATTACAATTTCCAAAAGCAAAAGGATCACTGATTACTTAAGAAGCAACGCTTCCTTTAAACTCCAGTACAGGAGGTAAATGTTAAACGCTAGCAAATCTTTTGAGAAGCATTAAAAAAGGTTTTCGTTACATCACAGGTATACTTAATCATAACGTCAAAGCCTCTAAAACAAAAACTCTGTGCACGCACTTCAGGAGTTTTTCCCACGTGCCGCGAAAGAAGGGAGCCTAGGTGTCTGGAGAGATCCTCTGCACCCAGCACTCGGCGACTGGCAGCGGGCATTTCAGCACCTGCTAAAGCCCGCTGGGCAGCTTGGCAGCGCCAGGCGCGGGGCTGCGGGGACACGGCCCGCCCGCGCGCAGGGCACAGCGAGCACGTGAGCGCAGAGCCAGCTCCGGAGCGCTACGGCGCGCGTGGCGGCACACCTGCTCCCCGAGGCTGATCGTTAACAGCCGTGGGCAGGGGTTGGGCCAGGGTACAGCTGTCAGGACCTCACTGGACAGGACCGGAGAGGACCCCGCGTAACCGCGGAACAGACACTCCCGGCAGCGGCCGCCGCCGCGGCACTGCTACGGGACGAGCCGGAGCGCTTGGCCATGGCGGCCCGATCCGCACTGGCGCTGCTGCTGCTGCTGCCAGTCCTGCTCCTGCCGGTGCAGAGCCGCTCAGAGCCCGAGACCACCGCGCCCACCCCTACCCCAATCCCGGGTGGCAACTCGTCAGTGAGCAGGCCCCTGCCCAGCATCGAGCTCCACGCCTGCGGCCCATACCCCAAACCAGGCCTGCTCATCCTGCTGGCCCCGCTGGCCCTGTGGCCCATTCTCCTGTAGGGACGCCCAGCCAGCCACCTCTAAGTCGCCGCTGGGACTGGCCTGCCCCATTGAGCAACAGAGACGCTTGACAGCCGCCCGCCTCCATTCCTTGACTTCACCCAGAAATGGGTCCAGAAAACTGAATCCCACCAGCACTGGTTTGGAGCAACCGGACACCGAGGTTTCACCTCCAGGGATTCCATGAAGAGCCTCAATGGAGATGCCACATCCTACTGAGTTAAAGATGGGCTGAGGAACTTGGGTACCCACAAGTCTGCCTTGGGAATCAAAAGAAAATATTTACCTTTAGTTTGGTTCATTAAATGCATGAAGTCAAAATATGACCAGGTAGTGTGCGAGGCCTCCTTGTTCTGGGTAGAGCTGGGAAGGGCAGGGATGGCAAGCGCTCCCTAAGTCTGCCACCTGTAGCCTTGCAGAGTTCTCTAGGAAATGCACTGCTGCTCTGGTGTTCAGTGCAATGCAGTATTTGACTTGGGAACAGTGACTGACGGGGGCCAGTGCAAGCCTAGTTAGTAAGCCCAGCCTGTCTACTCCACTCTCACCCACACATCCCCATTCTTCCAAAGAACCTTGTAGCTATCATTTCAACCTAGTTCCAAAGAGCAGACATACATAATCTCACATAACCTGCAATGCTGCTTTTTAAATTTCTGTATATGTTGAATAATTTTTACAAGTTAAAAGTGACCTTTTTAAACATATATTTTTAAATCTTTAACACGGGGGGAGAAAAAGGAAAGTTTTGGAAAGGGAAGACTAGAAGCTTGGCTGGTTCAGTTCACACAAGTTTTACACTATTTCTATCCATGTGTTATCTTTATAAATCCACATTTGGAATACTTCCCATATAAATATCTTTAGATAGAAACTGAGACTAAGCCTTGAGTAGCTTCTGGAAAGTAACCCCAACACCACCACCAAGTTGCACACACACCAATGTCCAGCATCTAGGAGGGCTTCAGGGCCCCCACAGCCCAAGACGTGCCAGCCCAAGAGAGCACTCCCAGAAACTCCAGATCCAGCCAGCCTCAGAACAGCATGTGAACACTTCACACGGGCTTACTGTGCATGTTTTGGATTGAGCCTTGTGTTCAGTAATTATGCTTGGATTTACATAACTTAAAATGACATATTTTAACATAAATTGTAAATTTTTATTTTTTATTTTTTTGAGACAGAGTCTCGCTCTGTCACCCAGGCTGGAGTGGTCCCCTCCCAAGGTTCAAGTGATTCTCATGTATCAGCCTCCTGCTCGCTGGGATCACAGGTGTGCGCCACCACACCCAGCTAATTTTTTTTGT
The DNA here is from genome assembly GCF_000001405.40 of Homo sapiens. Taxonomy (NCBI): domain Eukaryota; kingdom Metazoa; phylum Chordata; class Mammalia; order Primates; family Hominidae; genus Homo; species Homo sapiens. Next base: position 45,099,508 of record NC_000021.9, on the reverse strand, counting down.
ACTTTTAGTAGAGATAGGGTTTCACCATGTTGGCCAGGCTGGTCTCAAACTCCTGACCTCAAGTGATCCACCCGCCTCGGCCTCCCAAAGCGCTGGGATTACAGGCGTGAGCCACCCACCGCGCCCAGCCTGTAAATTATTTTTTTAAAAAGGCTTGCAGAGCAATCCGAAGACCCTAATTTAACAGGCTGTATACTAGGCACTGAAGGATGATCAACTATAGCTTCATTAAAGGAATAATGAAATTGCTGCTCTCCCACAGGAAATTACAGTTCCCCGGTCACCAGCCCTACCACCACCCCCTCCTCAAGGAGAAATGTGGAATCAACAACCCTTAAGAGAAATCCTGAGAGGGAAGACATGCGTGAAAATCCCATTCAGGCTATGATCCACGGCTAAATTTCAGTCCCAAGCATCTATCACATGTCACCTCTAAAGCGCCATCTGTCTGCTGGTAACACTACTACTGAAGCATTTGCTCTGCTGAGGGAAAACAATATGCTCCTATATTAGGGGTCATTTCTGCTCTACAGGGAAGAAGGACTCTGTCTGGCCTTATAAACCTAGAATACTAAGAATAACCTGACCCCCAATTCTGAGGCAGAGGCAGTGAGCTCAGGTCAAGGATAAGCTCTGACAGTTGTCCAGTCAATGCCAGAGAAGTCTCTCTCCTAAAAGAGAAACACACACAAATATACACAAGATTGAAGGCTGAGGAAAGTGCTCGAAAGGAGGCTAAGAGCATATGTGTGCAAATAGCCCAAAGAGAACAGCCTCCAGCTCCTGCCTAGCACTCGCCATCCCCCACACTGCCACGAACACTTTACCTAATCATGTAATCCTCACGGGAATGAGGCAGGTTTGAGTGTCCCCATTTTGCACATAGGGAAACTGAGGCCCAGCACTGCAGCTAGGAAGAGGCAGGGTGGGGATGATTCAAACTCAACAGTTTTGTTCCAGGGGCCAGGCACCCTCCACTGAGAACCTAGAGGATGCCTCCATAAACAGGCAGGTCAGGACGGGATGGGAGACAACGGTCATATAATGAGCTGGGGCAGAAGGGGCCGTCAGCAGAGGAAGAGCACAGATGGAAAGCCACCAGCTGGGAATAAGCAAAGCCCAGGCAAGAAACTTCTAGGAAGCTGTGAGCAGCCCCTAGACAGAGACGGGGAGAGTGGTCCAAGGGAGGAGGCCATGGGCCTGCAGCAGACCTGGGAGAGTGCTCCAAGGGATCTGGAGACAGATGGGAGCCGGGTCAAGCACAGCCGTGGGGTGAGGAGGAAGTCACAGTTGTATTCCAGATGCCCTGGTGGGTCCGTGGAGCCTGCAAGCACAGGGCAGGAATGACTTGCCAGCTGCTGGACAGCAGGGAGACGTGGAAAGGCAAGCACCCGGGTGGGAAGCGAACGCAGGGACAGCAGGCACAAATGTTTGAGGGGACTGGGTGTGACGGTGAGGGAAAGCGAGGTGGCTAGGATGACTGCCAGGTTTCCAGCAGCTGGGTGGGTGTTGGTGACGTTCACTGTAAGGAGAAAGGCTAGGAAATTTAGGAAAATGAAGCTCTGGTTTCAGATGTTCATTTTGTGACACCTGTGTGACATCAGTGGGGAGCAGGGCGAGGCTGCCTAGCAGGCTGGGCCAGAGGACCACATGGAGCTCAGGTTGAAAGGCAAAGGCACTCTCCTTTTCCTTTAGGGAGCAGCGGTTTGTCTCTGGAATTGCTTCCACCCAATGGCCTCCCTGACAGCTCCCCTTGAGTGCCCCCAAGTCAGCATACCCAAACAGACCTGCTAGTCTACCCTCCCCATCACCACAGTGGGCTCCCTCCCAGCTGTCCAGTCATAGGCACTGCCTTCCACCTTGCCACATGGCCAGCACCCAGGCATCCTCAGAACCTTGCACATGTGTCTGAAGTCCCCACCAGCCATGCTCCATCACTCCTGCCTGGACAGCGGCCCCTCGGCGTCTGCTCTCCACCTGTTCTCCTGCCACAGGGACCCTTCCACGGCACAACTCTGAGTTCATGCCCCCAACCACAATGGCTTCCCACCTCCAGAAAAAAAAAAAAAAATCATGATTCTCTACCATGGCCAACGCCTTATACTTTGTACCACATCACACAGGGCCTCGGTATCTCCTGACTAGTTTTCAAATTGGGAGTGAGCACCAATCCAGTAGCCCGAAAATCATGTTAGCCTCCCTCATTTGCACACCAGGCTTCCCCAAAGCTCATAAGCTTAGTTTTTCCAGCATTTGCTCTTTTGTCCTGTTACCAAAGAGAAGGTATGTGACCATCTCACAGTGGAAAATACTCTCCTTAAAGAATGGAAAGGGCCAACCCCACCCATCTCGTACCTAAAGGGTGCTGCTGAGGAAGGAGGGGAACTACATCTAGTTCCCAGCAGAAAACAAGAAAAAGAAACCGGACTTGAAGAGGAAGCTACTTGAGAACATTTAAAAAGAGGAGAAAGGCTGGGCGCAGTGGCTCACACCTGTAATCCTAGCACTTTGGGAGGCCAAGGTGGGTGGATCACAAGGTCAGGAGATCGAGACCATCCTGACTAACACGGTGAAACCCCGTCTCTACTAAAAATACAAAAAATTAGCCGGGCGTGGTGGCAGGCGCCTGTGGTTCCAGCTACTCAGGAGGCTGAGGCAGGAGAATGGTGTGAACCCGGGAGGCAGAGCTGGCAGTGCCACTGCACCGCCTGGGCGACAGAGACAGACTCTGTCTCAAAAAAATAAAATAAAAATAAAGAGAGGAGAAAATTCCTCCCGAAGCCCAAGCTGGCTTCCCCAGAGGTTCCCTCATCTCTCAGGAGCACTTCTGGGTGACAATGATGGGTTCTTTCTATAGTATGATCGCCCCTAGGAACGACCAGGGAGGCCTCGAGGAAGTACATGGGGACAAGAGCAGTTCCTTCTGGAGGGAAGGCTCACCAGAAACAAATCCAGAGATAGAAACACTAAAGGGAAAGGAGAGTGGATGATGAAGGGGGAGCACTGGGGCTGTCCCTCCAACAGCCTCAGGGCAGGGCAGTGTTGAGGACACAGGCCCACAGCAGCCAGCCCAGACCTGCAGGAAGACAGGCAGGGCCGGCACAGCTGGTGCAGGGAGCGAGACTGCCCAGCTTCCAGACTTCCAACAGGAGATATGCAAAACCCTTCCTCAGAGCAGAGGGGGCACTTGTCCCTTGCGCTTCTGTTCCCTGTGGACAGAATCCAACTCACGCACTCTTTCCTGCAGAAGGAGGCATCTAGAAGGAGGAAATGGGCTGCTTAGCCCAGCCGGTCCTCCTCTCCTCTTGGGCTAGGCGCACCCACACCAAAGTGCTAGGGTTTCTTCTCCTGCCACGTGGAAGGGGCTTGCCCCCAGCCATGCTCGTTACTAGGTGGGAAGTTTGTCTAATTTGGGATAAAGGATTAGCAAACCCGCTTGGCCAGTCAGCCACTTTCTCCAGTTGCTTTTATCTAAAACAGAGCCTGTATCTGATCTCCACTTGCCTATCTACAGTGTGTGCGGCTCTCTCAACTGGTCTGGAATTTGAGAGGGTAAAAAGTGGGTGCTAAATATAAAGCCCCAACAGCCCCACTTTTTAGGCCTCCCTCAGTCAGGAACCAGGACTTACAGCCTACAGCTCCTTGTTGATCTGGCTGTGGGAGACCCTTACTCACAGAGCCTTATTTTCTCGAGCACAGACCCTGCCCCAGGCATCTGGGCAACCAGAGGTAGCCGTGTAATACTCTTCCAGCCAATGAGAGACACTGGGTTTCCTGAACTCCTTATCGCTTTCCTGATGCAGAGACACCCCTTCCTGCCTCACCACCTCTCAGCTGGAACGTCAGGCTGGAGACATGACCCAAGGAGCCAAGCCCGAGAAGGAAACGTGCACCCTGAAACAGCGGGATGCAGAACCCTGAAACAGCGGGATGCAGAACCCTGAAACAGCAGGATGCAGAACCCTGAAACAGCGGGATGGAGAGACAGAAGCCTCGGGAAACGTGGACGACAATGTGAGGCCCCTGTCCCAGCCCCACACCACTGGGGGAAGAGCTAACAGAAAAAGGGGGCAGAGAAAAAACACTGGGTTGAGTTCCAGGCAATGGTCACTGCAGGAAGCTGAAAGGGGGCAGGATGGACAGGAGCCTGGGGAGGGGATCCAGAGCTCAAGCAGGTCTGTGCTGCACTGTGTCAGAGCTCACGGCAAAGGCCGGAGCATCACACGCAGAGCAAGCAGGGAGCGCAGCCTGGGCTGGGGGCAGGTAGGCTGCACCTGCAGGGCTCCTGGTGACTGGGGGACCTGCACAGAAGACTGAGCCAGAAGGATGCCAGGGTGGCACTGCCCACGGAATCCAAGAGGTTGGCTAGTTCTGTACAGTCCTGTTGAGACACTGATTGAGACCAGGACGAAATACAGGCCACTGACCTTAACAAGAGACAGATCATTAGTGACTAGCAAGACCCATTTCAGAGGGATGGAAGGCCAAAACTTGAACAGAACAGACTGAAATGTCAAGGAAGTCGTGATAGTGGAGAAGGTGCCCAGCACATGGGCAGCAGAATGAGGCTGCCAGCTTTGGGCAAGGAGACTGAGTGCAAACCTCGCCTCTCAGTGAGCGTCCAGGCCCCTCGGCTGATGGAGGTCCTCAATTGGTCTTCCTTCATCACAGTTATGACTTTACATCTGCTTGTGTGAGTACTTGATATACAGACATCTGCATCACTAGAAATTTCCATGAAAGCAAGGACCATGTCTCATTTGCCCCCCTCTCTCCCCTCAACATGATGCGAGAGGTTGGATGGGAGGACAGGAAGGGCAGCTGTGTGGACAGGAAGCCCACCAGGTCAGCTGTGTGAGGAAGCAGTCTGGGGCCTCAGCAGGGCCCACGTGCAGGGCCGTAGAAACCTTGAGAGCAGAAACACAAGCAGACATAGTGCTCGGGGCTGCTTCCATGTACAGAGGATGTTCCCTGATCTGGCGGGGCGCCTGGCAGCACGTGAGTGAGGCTGATGGTAGTGGTGCCAAAACAACCAAATGTATCTCCCCAAAACCTATCATTCAAAAGTATCCTAGGGGATTAATCAAAAACTCTCAAAAATTTTACTTGAAGATTTTCCAGTTTAAAGGTAATTTCAGGCAATAAACTAGTATTGGGTCCAAAATGAGCTGACAGTACCTGGGAAGCCACACTACTGCTTGATAAAGACACGGACCAACAGCCTCACAGAGGTTATCAGTGAGGGATCTTGAACAGAGCTCTAATTGGGTACACGCTAATTGCTTTAACAGACAACTGCTTGCAGAGTTGGAAAAAATGCTTTTGAATGTTTCTGAACAAATAATTTGATATATTCTATTTCTCAAAAGACCCTCACTTTTTAAACACAAAGTCATCAAAAAACCATCTTATGAAAGAGAACATTAAATATAACATTAAGATCAAGAAACTATCTTTTAAAATCCTGTAAATAAAAAAAGTTATAATCAGGATGGGCAGACAAATAATTGGATCAATCACAATCACCTCAATCAATGACTAACAAATCACCAGTAAAAACGAAGTGCTAAAAAGCGAGTTATTTAATTTTATTTTTTCAGACACTTCTCTGAGGAGCCCCCATGTGCTGTGCAGGGTCGAAAAACCCAATCCTAATGTACTTAAAAGGGCAGATGAGAGACATTTGCCTGAAATTAAAACATAAAGTAATTCTGTTCTGGGACTTTATCTGAAAATCCAGAAGAAGCCCTTGGCCGGAAGCATCAGCCTCCAGGGCCTCTTCACCCTGACATTCCTGAGGCTGCAGCACAGTCTCCCCATACCCCTGGTGAGGAGCCCCCTGGAGAAAAGATGCACCCATGCCTCCTCCGGGCACACAGTCAAAGGGCCTCTTCCTGAGAGAAGAGGACAGAACTTCCCAACACCCCGAACCTTCACTCCAAACAGGGTAAGACCTAGTTCCAGAGTCACAGCATGAAACGCAAGAGGCGGCAGAAAAACCCACAAGTCAGAGAACAGCAGCTGTGTGGCCCAGAGGGCTCGGCACCCACAGAAAGCCGGGTCCTCTCTTCCTCTTGTCAAGGACGTCAGGCAGAGGCCTGTGGAAACCTGCCAATGGGAGCAGTCGCCAGACCTAGAAGAGCCAAGCCCGGTGTGCCCTCGCCTGGAGTTGTGAGAAAAGTCCCTGTAGCCCCAGATCTAGGGCCTCCAACACTCTCCTACCCGAGACTCCTACCCGAGGCTGCCCTGGGAACTGGTGAGAAAAGCCAAAGTGCACCCCAGCAAAGTGCCTGGATCAGTCCAGTTCCTGAAGCCAAGTGCCGGTGGGGCGAGGTCCAGGCACAGAATGGGCAGTGGCCATGCTGCTTCCTTCCTGGGGAGGCTGCTTATTTCAGAGACTAATTTCCTGGTTTTCACTGTGCCTATTGTGTGAATATTTGGGGGTGGGGTGGGGTATAAGCTGAGACTCATCAGAAGGGTTTCAGGGCCTAGTAACAGATTACCCTGTTGGCTATAGAAATGGGACTGAGATAGCCTCGACTTTAGAAAATGGAACATGATACTAGTTTTGACATCTTTAAGACTTGGGCTCCATCAAGAAAAAAAAAAATTAAAGGTACAAAAATGTGTGATAATGAATTACTCCTATTTTACAGGAATGGGAGGCTTGATTTATAAAATAGTTTTTTAAATTATTATTCAGGTAAAGGGTTAGATTTAAGCTATAAAGAGCTTGACTGGTTTTCCTCTGCCTTGTCTGCTCTGTTTTGGAATAATCCCTAATATTGTTCATTACTTCAAAATTTACAGAAAGATGTTTTTGTTTTTCCTGTGTCATACTATTAGTATCAGTCTAGTCAAGTGACTTGTAAATACCAATAAATAGAATGTATCCATTTTTAAAAATCCAACAGGAGAACAATAATAAGGAAAAAGTTAACTTTTGACTAAAGCCGAATTCCTGATTCTAAGATTTAAAGGTCACCTACCAGGATTAAGATTTGGTCCTCACAACTGTTACCTGAAGGTAAGAGTAAATTCCAATGGTATAACTATATAAAAAAAATAGATAACAGATATTTCCATAAAAATTGTTTATGTTCATTTTTAAAATCTCTCTCATCAAACAGTTGTAATGCAGTAGAGAGAATGAGAAGAGAGAGAGGTCAGAAAGTCACCCAGTAAACAAAAGGACCACAGATTTTTCTCCATCCTCAACAGAGATTCCAGTTGATGAAGAAGGCTGCCATGCAGGCTCAGGGCAAGGAAAGGGAATGTGCTGCTAGCACTGGACCTCAGCTCCGGGCAAGGCTGCACCTTCTGAACCGACGGCCCAGGAGCGAAGTGACCCATACTTCCTCCAAAGCATCACTCTCCAGACATGGTAATCCAGGCCCAGAAGCAAAGGTCAGTCCCACTGTGCCTGTCACACACTCTGCTCCTCTACACCCTCCTCTAGGAAATGAAAGAGGAAGGATGTTGATCTCTAGGGTCTTTTAAATTGTTCCAAATAAATAAAATAGAATTATTTTCTCTTACTAAAAATAAAACACTGATTTTCATATTAAAGACAAATTAATTTTGCAAAGGATTAAAAAAGCAGAAATCCAAATCAGTTTAGCAGAAAGATGAACAGATGGATTTCTGAGGTCCACTGGCCTGCATCCAAATTTCGCAGCCTAGCCCACGGTTAAACTCGATCTGGAGTCTTCCAGCTCCTCCTCCTACAGGGAAACCCCCACTCTCCCTGGACTGTGGTCCACAGGAGAACAAGGAGCTCTACTCCACAGGACACCAGAGCATGAGCAAACATGTGGCAATGCTGTAGGATGCTGGTGACCAGGATCCTGCCCCTGGGAGCCACTAAGCTGCCAGAAGACACAGTCACCCAGGCAAGGCTGTGAATAGCACCCCATATCCCTATTGCTCTCCCTCTGAGCCATAGACAGAGATCATGCTGGTGGGGAATAAGGTCTCATGATGTCCAGAACTATAGCAGAAAACTGTAAGCTGATCTCCTGCTCCTCATTAAGTGATGACAGTTCACACAACACAAAAAGTGCCATTTCACCAAACTGTAGTATTACAACACTTTCATCATTAACCTTTCTAAAGTAAAAATCATCAGATTCAAGTCTTCTGTTTTTTCATCATAAGAATTCAATAAAAGCAGAAATAATTATATAAGCAGTTAAGCCAAACGTCAACTAGCATTGAAGCAGTGGAAGAAATCGGATTGATTTAGAGTTGATTTAAGATAATACCAGGGGCAAAGACAAGTGGATGTCTGAGTTAGGGGAAAATTGGCAAGGACGGTCAAATAGAAAAAACACGTGACTTAAAGACATAGCAGAACATATGCTCTGTGAAGAAAGGGACTGAGTTATTTCATTCACTGCTAAACCTTTGGTATCCAAAGTGCTCAAAAAATATTTATTCAATGACTGCATAAACACATGAATGAAAAATGTCAGTTTATATGAAGTTGATGAACTTCATGAATATAACATGGCAGCAATGCCCAACATTTAAGAAAGGTTATCACAGAACCTACATTGTTTAATAAAGCCAGTGCCACAATAATAATCAGATGCTCAATTTTTCAATAAAAATCATTACAAACCCTGCATTTCGCTATCTACAAATGAGGTGGCCAAGGCAGTTCTTGGGGGGAAAACGTAGAGCTGCATGTGCACAGAAGAGAAAACAAGGATGACGTGAAAATAAACAAGGTATTCAATCCCCAAGTGAGAACAAAGGTGGAGAGAGGTCAGAACCGGGGTCCTCCTGGGGAGGGTAGGAGTGCTGAGCTGCACAGGTACCAGGAAGCCTCCGGGTTGATCCCAGTGATGGTTGTGTGAGTGCACACAGATATGAGAGTCACCAGGCTGCACACTCAGGCCCCACTGGTATACTTATACCTGTTCATGAGAGAAGACTGTCACATTTTCAGGAATTTTGTAAACCAGTTGACAGCTCATCGGTAGCTTGAAATAGGGCACGGTAGGGACATTTATAACTTGGAAATTGGCAAATGCTACAAATCAGGGGTTTCCATACACTCCCACTCCTCCTTCCCACCAAAAGCCAGGTGTTAAGCACTTATACCACTATGTAGCTACTACAGCATGTAAACTACATGAAAAAAATGAAAAGACTAGGGGTAGGGCTGGGGAGAGACTCATTTTGAAAAAATAGAAGGTATTAAAATAAATAGCAATTTTAATTTTGCACTGTGTTAAAAACAGGATTTTCCCCAGAATGCAGGAATGTTTAATATCAGGAAATCTATTAATGAAATTTGCTATATTAACAGACTGGAGGGAAAACCACGTGATCATTTCAACAGACGCACATATGGTAAAATTCTACTGCCACTCATGATAAAGATTATTTTGGACAAACCAGGAAGAGAAGGTAACATGCTAGACAAGATAAAGGGTATGTACAAAACAACTAGAGTAATGTCACACTTAAGGATGAAATACTGGAAGCATTCACGTCAAAGACAACAACGAGATGCAGCCTGCTAGCCATCACTATGATCCAAACACTACACTCAGCACAGTACCAGAAGTCCTAGCCAATTAATACAGGGGAAGTACAAAGCTTAGAAAGGAAGACGCATGTTCCCAAAAGGATCCTCCATCTAGAAAACATGAGACACAAATGACAAGCTGTGGACACAACATACAAAAACCAATCACTTTATCACACAAGAATAATAAGCAATTTGAAATATCATTGAAAGAAAACATTTAGTAGTGATAAAGGTGATATTTCTGATAACTGGGCAAAGGGCAGACTACTCAATGACAAAGGCAAATGATTAGCCAATTGAAAAAATATCCCAACTTCAAACTGTACAAAAACAAATTTCATATAGATCAATATGCTAAATGTGAAAAACAAAATATAAAACTATTAGAAGAAATTAAAGAAAAATATGAGTATTGTAGTAGGGAAAGTATTCTTAGGATTCAAAACCCAAAAGCCATAAAGGAAAAAAACTGATAAATTTGACTATATTTAAAATTTCTTTTTAGAAAAAAAAAATCGACCAAATCCAAAGACCAAGATAAACCAGGTAAACAGCTTCACATGGGAAGAAACAGAGACAGGGGCTGGTCCTGCCATTTCTGCCATTCTCCCATCATATTCTGCCATGGGTTTCTTTTTCAACTTTTTATGTTGAAATTTTAGGCTTATGGGAAGGCTGAAAAATAGTACAGATAATTCCCCTATGTCCTTCTCCCAGCTTCCTCTAAAATCATAGATTTGTAAGTTGTGAGCATGAGGAGAAGTATGTATCAATCACAGACCTGTATGTTGTGAGCTGGGAGAAGGATATATCGAAATCAGAAAATAAACACTGGCACAATACAATTGGCTACACCACAGACCTCATCTGAATTTCGGTGGTTTCTCCACCAATACCGGCTTCTGTTCCAGGATTCTGCCCAGAATCACAGGCCACAGTTAGTCATCAGGTCTCTAAGCTTAGACCAATCCTCGGTGTTTCCAGTGTTCATGACCTGGACACTTCTGAGGAACACTGATGAGGTGAGGTATTTTGCAGGACGTCCCTCTACTGGAGCGTCTGACATTTCTCCATGACTAGACTGTGATTGTGCATTTGTGGCAGGAGTCCCTGACAGAGCACATGCCATGTGGTGTGGGGCGGCATATGATGCAACTTGTCTCATCAGATGATGCTGATCTTGATCGCCCAGGTGACGTGGTGTCTGCTGGCTTCCTCCATTCTAAAGTTACTATTTTTCCCTTTTTAATAAATAAATAACTTGAGGAAGAGATACTTCGAGACTAGGCAAATATCCTGTTTCTCTCCAAACTCTGGCCCACTAATCAGCATCCTCCCGCGGAACTCACCTGAAGTAACTATTTCCATAGTGCCGCCTGAAGGCGATTTTCTATTTTCTCACTGCTCCTACACCAATTAATTGGAATGTTTCTGTCAGGAAGAGATGTCCCTTCTCCTTATTTTTTCAATTTCTTCTTATATCAATATAAGAAGTATCAGTAGTGATACTGACTTTGTTTTATAGATTATACACCTATACTATCATTACTCATTTCCTTGCTCAAATTGACCCGCTTTGGCCATGGGGCTCCTCCAGGTTGCTTATGTGCCCTCTGACACACCCCATCCATTTTGGCCACTTCCTTATTTCCAGCATCATCAGAGGTTCCAGACTCATCTTCTGCAAGGAGCCCTGCTTATTTTTATCAGCAACTGATATTTAGGTGTGCTCCCTGTTGCTGGAGGTCATTGCTTCTAGGTCTTCCCAACGGACAAGGCTAGGAGATGCATATGTAGGTGTATCACTAACCCATGCATGTAACGCGTACACCTATGTTTACTCCTGTGCTGTACATGCATCTATTAAAGACCACAGAGTCACACTGACACCTATCCCAATCCAACAGCACGGCCTCCCTCTGCCATCTTCCTTTTGCTATTTGTAACTTCTTCCTGGGACAGTGAGAAACCTGGCTCTCATTATCCACTACGATTCTGCTTATTTGTTCAATCCCCACATACACATAAAGTCGTTTCACATTGCTCACCATTAACACTGAGAAAAAAATTTACTACTATTTTGTACAGTTCTCTTCAGCCTCACAGAATCCAGTCAACATTATCATTTTCCCAAATAAGGTTAACACTTTCCTTTCCACCCCCTTTGCTGTGGCCCTGCCGCTTTGTACTACAGTGAGATGTGTGTTTTCCGCTTATATTTCATTTTGGGTCCCCCACATCCTGGCTGATATTAACCATCTATTTTACTTTGGAGTATATGAAGTATTGCTGTGGTTTCAAGAGCTGGGCCACACTAAAAGGTGTACTGAGAGCAGCACTGCACCCCACCTATGACCTGGCACCCACTCCACTTCCCTGCCCCCTCGCCCTCTGCACCCCACCTATGACCTGGCACCCACTCCTCCTCCGTCCCCTGGCCCTCTGCAGTCACCATCTCTTTTGTTTCTGGCTCTGCCCTCCTGTATCTCCTCTGCACAAGTGTGCAGGGAGCGTGTGTCTTCCTGCATCCCCTTCTTCTCACATCAAGGGCAGCATTTAGATGTTCTTTGGTACTTGCCTCATTCACATCCACGTGCCCTGGAAACCACCTCAAACCAATTCACAGAGGTCATCCTCAACAGTGGATGTGGTTGTGTGGCTGTACTAGAGTTTACTCAACCCTCTCCTGCATATGGATATTTAGGTTATTCCGAATGTATTTTCACATTGTTGGAGGTCTATCTTCTGGAAGGATTCCTAGAAGCAGAATTGCTGGGTCAAAGGGTAAGTGTTTCTGTGGTGTTGTAGGCTGAATGTGGTTTTAATATGCCCAACCGTACTTCACCGACTTCCTCTTCTGATAAGTGGGGGGAAAACATCAAACACCCGGTAAGAACTCATCTGCTGAGGACCTAATAGTGTGCACAACACAGGTGGTCAGCTTAAGAAATGCTAATAGCTTCTGCTCGACATTATAACCATATTTCATCCTATAGTAGGCTCATACAATTCAAGAAGCACAATGCACATCACAGAGACAGACTTCAAGAGCAAGCCAAATAAATGGCCCTTGCTAGCATTATCAGTATCAAACAAAGGCTTCTGTCTTAAACTCCATTTCGAAGCTCCTACGAACTCCTAGGAATCTACCTATGACAAATGAAAATACACATCCACACGCAGACATGCTTGCTAATGTTCAAAGTCACGTGATTCATAATAGCCAGAATGCAGAAACAACCCAAAGTCCATCGCTGGAGTGGAATAAACGAACACGCTACGCCAATACGACTAAAAGGAACAAATTACTGATATGTTCTACAACACACGGATGAACCCGAAAAACATGTTAAGTGAAAGCCTGATGCAAACGATGACACAGGACATGAGCTGCTTCCCATGAAATATCTGCAAGGCACATGTGGAAACAGCAGGCAGGCTGCCTGAGCGGTTGCCTGAGGCTGGGCTGGGTGCGCGAATCAACTGCAGACAAGCACAGGGAACATTTGAGGTGACAGGAGTGTTCAAGAACTAGACAGTGGTGATGTCTGCACAACTCAGACATTCAGAAAATCACTGAATTGTCCTCTTAGAGAGGGTGCATTTCATGGCAGCTGTTTAAAACAAAACAAAACCGCCTCAAAATGCCTTTCCTATGGTTTATTTTCTCCCCGTATTTTCCCAGAGCATTCTAAAAAGGTGAAGACTCAAAGCATTATTTGATCATAACTTGCAATTTGCATTGTTTCCTTCAACAATCAATAAGCCCAGGAAATCATCTAGACAAATTCTCAATGCAGTGTGAAAAGGCACACAGGGCAGGTCTTCTGTCCAACAGCACCGCCCTATCCCGGCTTCACACATAGCAAGCAGTGTCTGGCAAATCAAAGCCTGCCTTTTCCATTCTACACCGTAGCTCAAAATCATTGTCCAGGAAAGGAAAAAACCTTCCTTTTCCTACAGCAAGGGCTTCCAGCAATAAACAGAACTAAAATCTATCAGGCACTTCTTGCCTGTGCCACACATAACACGTGCCTATGGCTGATTCGTGCATGGAGAATTCAAGGTGAGCTGCACGGGAGGCTCTATGTCAGTTCTGCGTGAGAGGCACATGCTCAATGACGTCCTTTAGGTTCATGTGACACCAGCCTTTTCTGTGTCAACAGAATCAATTCCTCACAGTTTCATTAGAGGGATAAAATTAAAGAATTGAAAGCTTCACTATGTAACAAGATAAATATGTCACTCATTCACCTGCATGTGGGTGAAAACATCTACTACGTGACAACAAAAAGTGCAGAGGGAAAAAATTCCAGAGTAGAAGTTAGAAGATGTCACTTTTAACCCTGCTCTGCTCCTGGGTACATACATACATAGTATGTAAAGGACTCAAATTCAAAATGACCAAGACTAATAAATATGCATTTGATGTGACTACTTTCATTCATATCGAGAATGGAGTAGACGTAAAGAGTCCAATCATTGCTGTTTAACTGCAGCCACGGCGCTGAAGTTTCTGGAAACTGTAACCTCTGTTTAAATCGACTTCACACTATTTATGCTTAGGTCTAAACCAAGTGAAATGTGTAGATTAACACTAAGTAGTAAGTGTTTTCCACCATTCTTCATGTAGAGGTCAGAGGTCACGTCTGTAGCTCCCCAGCATCTTTTGAATCTCCTCTCTCTACCTGGGGATATCCCTAAGACAAAAGCCAGAATTCTATTTCCTGTTCTCACAGCCAGGGTGCACTCGGCCAGTCAGATGAACCAACACGAAACCTCACCTCAAATGATAGAAATTTGAGGGAGCAGGTCCCTAGTGGAAACTATTCCTGAAAAGGGAAAACAATGACACAAGAGAGGGCTTGGGGATGCAGCAGCTGGCAGAGGGCCCACCAGCGGCATCCGGCAGCCCAGGCTCACTGCACATGATCCCAGGGTAACCAGGTACTGTGTCTGACTCCAGAAGCCCGGGCTCACTGCACATGGTCCCAGGGTAACCCAGTATTGTGTCTGACTCCAGAGCCTCACGAAGACTACGAGAAGCCACTTTACATTCTTGAAAAGATTCCTTTTTTCAAGGAAATCAACTCACTCTAAGTGACTTAACACTGGGTGGGTTGGACACCTTGTGCCCAACTGTTACTAATCAAAGAAAAAGAAACAAAACTGGGCTTATGTGCACTGCCATAAGTAAACACACAGGAATAAAATGCAACTTTCCAACTTACTCTCCAGCCTGACTGATATATATGTTAAAGACCTCCACTTCTAACTTTGTAATTTTAGAAGTGAGGGTTAATGAAATATTAACTACTACTGAATTACCTCTGGTGGCTTATGATAAACTCTGGACTTACAGAAGTGAAAAACAACCCCTGCTCAATTTAATTCAAGACAACTAACACAGTCTAGTCCCCCTAAGACTGAGGAAACAGAGAAAGGGATCAATTCTAATCCCCTGGAGTTTCACGTTTTCTCTTGGACTCTGAATCCATCATTCCACCTCTCTCAATCCTGCCTCCTAAGCCCGCTTAACCCCTAAGGCCTAGGCCCTCCCTTCCTATACCTCACCTCTTTCCACAGTTACTGAGTCAAAAGAAGGGACAGGACTCTCTGCCAAGTGCCAGCCTCGCGTGAGCCTCGGCAGCCATGGCAGGAAGTGACGTAGCACCACCTACCATTAGACAGGACTACACATAGGTTCTATGATGAGTATTTATTGGACAACTGAATGAATGATTATTTGACTCTGACTTACAATAGTCTTCCAGAAATGGAGAGAACCTCGGCAACAAGCAATTCAACTGCCCTCATTCTACATCCAAGGAGCCTGCAGCAGAGGCATGAAGAGAATGCACCATCCTGTTCAGAAGCAGGGCTGGGATTACAATCCTGATCTCCCAAATTCTGGGACACTTTCCTGTTTGCTCCTTCACCAAAAACAGCTTATAAGAGATGCTTTTTTGGCCAGGTGCAATGGCTCCGCCTGTAATCCCAGCATTTTGGGAGGCCGAGGCAATTGGATCCCTTGAGTCCAGGAGCTCGAGACCAGCCTGGGCAACACGGTAAAACCCCGTCTCTACAAAAAATACAAAAATTAGCCGGGTGTGGTGGCATCCACCTGTAGCCCCAGCTACCTGGGAGGCTGAGACTGAGGCGGGAGGATCGCTTGAACCCAGGAGGTTGTGGCTACAGTGAGCTATGATTGTACCACTGTACTCTAGCCTGAGCAACAAAGCAAGACGCTGTCGCAAAAAAACAAAAAAGATGTGTAATTCCTTTAAGCCTCCACAGTTGAATCAAATGTATTTTTTCATTTTATTTGGCTGCCTTTTCCTGAATCCTCCCAGAATTATTCGAAATATTCTTGTTTCTGTCAAGATGTAGTTATAAGTATTATTTCAGAGAATGCATTTCAACTGTATCTTGTCCAAAAGGGGTTAAAATGATGCTGGCAGGACAGAGCTACTTTTCCAGGATGTGGCCTCCCTGTTTTCAACAGATAATTTACTATGTCAAACTTTATGGTTTTATAACAATTTTGAATGTTTTATAAATGTTTCTATTCTACATAGAAAAGTGTGGAAATCTGGAGATAACACAGACATATGGGGCATAAATATATGACTGATTCACCAAGTACAATAGGATGGGGGGGCAGTGTAGGGAGGCAGCAAAAGCATACGTTTTCAGAAGCAGATAAACTTAATGCAGGTTCTACTACTTACTACCAACAGAAAAAGTAAGTTAAAGTTATTCTCTCCTTCAGCAAAGGCTTACAAGTGTCTATCTACCAGGCATTGCTCCGAGCCCTCAGGACAGATTCAGAGCAATAGCCCTGCCTTCCTGAGGCTTTCATTCTGGCCAGGCAGGCTGTGTGGGGAGGAAGGTAGTGGTGGGTACAGATGGCAGAAATAAACAGAACAGTGAGCAGGGCACGCAGCACACAATGGTGCATGAACACTGAAGTGAGGGCTAGCTATAGGCCCCAAGACAGCTGGAGCCAGGGCTCTGAGTGGCAGGAAGGGACAGCAGGAAAGAAGGCCGCAGGGGGACTCTGAGCAGGAGAATGACGTGATGTCTTCCATGTACAGGCTCAGATCCGACTGCTGGTCAAGAACAGACTGAAGGAGACCAGAAGTGGAAGAAGAGATCTGTTAGGAGGCTACTCAGGTAAGCCAGGCCAGTGTTATCAGTAAAAAGGGATGATGACAGTGACCCTTAATAGCAACATCCTAAGATCATCATGAGGATTAAACTAGATTAAACTCACTTTACCATGTCTGACACATGGTAAGAGCTTAATAAATGTTAAACATTATCCAGCTTTCCTAGGAAGTCACTGAGCCCCTTAGCATCAGTTTTCTGATCTGATAAATAGGGGTAATGAGACCTCCTACAAGAATGTCATGAGAGGAATAACTGACTTAATTACAAGGACCCTGAAGAAGAGCCAGTTCTACCTAATAAAAGTTTAAATGCACGTGTCTGTGTTTTACAAACAATGCATTACAAATTTTGTAGGCCGTGGGAAGGTACAGACAGACGCTGGCTTACAACAGTCTGACTTATGATTTTTTTACTTTATGATGGTGTGAAAGTGATACATATTTAATAGAAAGTGTACTTTGAATTTTGAAGGTTAGGTGTATTAAATGCATTTTCAACTGACAATATATTTAAGTTATGAACCTCATCGTAAGTTGAGAGGTATCTATACAAACAAATATTCTGCTAGTCACATATTAGATGACAACTGCTTTGCAGACTCAAACAGAACCCAATACAAAATGAGGTCTCTAGTTGAAGACTCCTAACCTGAGATCCTCTGGAACGTGGCATCATCACATCATCACCATCCAAAGAGCTCCAAGAGCCCTTCTTGGTCCCTCCACTTCCCTTGTCTCCAAGACCTGATCTATTGCCCACAACCAAGAATTCACACCTGCTCTCTTTTCTCCAGTTCTGCCACCTCTGCCCCGCTAAATCATGGCAACAGTGCCAACCCAGGCCTCCATTCTTCCTGTTGCACTCTTGAGAGTCTGCAGGACCTGGCCCCTGTGTCTCTGCAGCCTCACCTCCTAGCCCCTGACTGGACAATGGTTCTGGTCCTATCCTGGCCACTCTAATAAGCAGGCTCTCTGGCAGGCTATCCTTCTAGCCAGAAGGCTGTTGTCCCCCCTCCTGACATGAGCTCATGCTTTCCCTCTGGGCCTCAGCGTACCACATCGCACTCAGAGAGGCCTTCCCAGAACATCATACCTCCACCAGGAGCCACCCTCTTGATGCCATCTACCTCAGCCCTGTCTCCTCGGTCATGCCAATAAAGACAGCACAGGTGCTCCTTGACTGACGGTGGAGTTCCGATCCTATGAACCCATCGCAAGTTGAAGACATCCTAACCTGAAAAAGCATTCAATACACCTACCCTACCAAACATCAAAGCTTAGCCTAGCCTACCTAAAAGGTGCTCAGAACACTCACATTAGCCTACAATTGAACAAAATCATCTAATACAAAGCCTATTTTATAACAAAGTACTTAATATCGCATGCAATTTATTGAATGCTATGCCAAAAGTGAAAAACAGAATGACTGTATGGGTACCACAGTCAAGTCAAAAATTGTTACTGGAACCATCATAAGCCGGGTCCGTGTGTAGTTGTGAGGCACGGTGTCTGCCTCTGTGATCTGTTTAGTTTCTCCACCAGAATGTCAGTTCAAAGAAGCACAGACCTCCTCCCTGTCCTTCTCCACCGCATCCTCCCACGATGACTCACACAGAGCAGGCACTCAGGAAAGCCTGCCCTGAGAGAAAAGAGCAAAGGGAAAATGTTTCCACAGCAGTGGGAACTACTCTCCACTGCACAGATGATGGAGAGAATGCAAGGAAGCTGGGGAAGGCTTCTTCACATTTCATCGCATTGGCTGAACTACTGAGAAGATGGGTGTTCTGAAACTCCAAACCTGAAAAAATCAAATAATCACAAAAACAAATCAAAACTCATGCAATTAAGATATTTTACCAAGTTAACAGGCAACTGTGTTTCACTGAATGCTGCTGACCCAGTGGAACATAAACATATACATGCAACAGGCCCAAAGCAACAATACCTGCTTTCCTCTGGGGGTAGGGTTGGTGAGGGAGTCGTCTTAAATGCAAAACTGAAATTCCCAGCTAGGCAAATCAAGCACAAATCAGGCACCGAGTCTTCTAGTCCTCTGAGTACTGAATTTGGTGAATAAAGGTGCCAACCTCCAGGTAACAATACTTTTAGAGAAAAGTGAATTTTTTAAATAAATAAAAAATTCCATTTCCACATGTATCTTTCCGTAAGTACGCCCCATGGCATGTTCAGCACAAGCTGGTAAGAAGCTGGATCCTGAGTCCTAGGGTGAGATTCCGAACTTTTTAGGACTGAGGACAAAACCATGATTTATTTCCTATCCTCCTTTCAAAAGGGCAGCATGTCTTGAGGAATATTTCTGAGTCCAGGCTCCCACGTGCAGAAGTCCTGCCTCCCTCCTGAAGTCCCGCCTCCCTTCTAGAGCTGAGCATCCCTGCTCTTCCTGCCTCCCTCTCACCTTCTCAAGGACTTGGCTCCAACATTATCCTCTTTCCTGGCATATTATAAATGTTTCCCTCTACTGGATCATTCCTATTAGCTCATAACATGCTATCATCGCTCTCATTTAAAAATACAACTAAAAACTTCCTGTACCCATGTCCCCTCCAGCCACCATCCCATGACTCTTCCCTTTTAACAGAACTCCTCTAGAGAGTCGTCTACACTGATGTTCCCACCTCTACTCTATTTGTTTCCTCTCCCCACCACTCCAAACCTATCAAGGTCACTCACAACCACCTCTTATCAAAGCCAATAGGAAACTCTCCAGCCCACGAAGAATAAGAAGAAAAGAACCCCTCGGTGTCTTGGTTTCCAGGCCACTAGACTCTCACTAGTTTCTTCCTTCTTCAAACAGAGTCCTTTTCAATGGCGTTGCTAGACCCTCCCTCCCAATGTGGACCGCTTGCCAAAAGCTCCCAGGCCATTCCTCATCTCCTGCTCCTCTGTATCCATACTGTATGCCTCATAGATCAGCAATATGCAAATGACTCCCAAATTTACATATTTGGCCCCAACCTCTTCTTGAACCTGACCTTGAATTTCCATCCATATTCACCTTTCTCTACTCAGATAACTAATCATAAAAATAATAAGCAAAGTAAGCCCCATTAAATACTGTTAGTCAGGTACTATTTTAGGTACTTTACATTAGCAACTCAACAACCCTGACAAGTTGCTTTTATTCTTCCTAATTTATAGATGAGAAAACTGAAGCACAGAGATTAGACTGCTTGCTCAAGATCATCTAGGAAGTAGCTGCACAATGACCCAACCCTCGTCCTCCAGATCTGGCCCTTGAGTGGAGCTGCTGAGCTGGGCTGCCTTCCAGTCACAAGCTCCACATGTTCAAATCCCAACACTGGCTCTTCCCAGACTTCCCTATCTCATACCTGGCACCAACGCCAAGTCAAAAGCTGAGTTGGAAGAATCAGATTCTAGATGTGAAGAAATTTCAGAATTACTTTATTTTACTTGTATTTTCCTTTTTTATGAAAGTGCATGAATTATATGATTTTAAAAGTCAATGCTTAGTCTAAGCTCTTTCAATGAGTATAAATGAATGCTGGGTAACAAGAAAGCATTGTGTCACAATCTAGTTGGCTACATTTTCCCTTTGTTAGCAGCATAAGAAATGATGATGCAACTTAAAAATGATGGCATCTTACAAATGCTGAAATTCAGTAGGCTGAATCTGATCTCACCACTTCCGCCCTGGTCTGAGGTGCCGGTACAGTCACCCAGCTTTCACAAAAGTCTAACTGATCTCCTTGCTGATATTCCTCCTCCAGTCTGCAGTAGTGGAGGTGCAAAAAGCAAGCTGCAGTAAGGAGGTAAGGGTACATCCTGCCATTGCCACTTCCTGTGTGACCTTGGGTAAATCACTTAACCACTCTGTGCCTAGGTATTCCCCCCTGTAACATGGGAATAATGATAATAATGCCTACTTTTTGGACTGTCATAAGAATAAATGAATTAATATATGTAAAGCTCTTAAAACAGCCTGGCATATTGTAAGCCCAACAGCCAGAGTGGTACTTTTTAAAGATAAATCAGATCATGTCATTCGCAAGGAAGGAAGAAAGGCTCCCTTAAGGCTTCCCATCAAACTTAAAATCTAAATTCCTTACCACAGCCTGTGTGCTCCAAGATGCAGCTCTCCTCCACTCCCATCTCACTTCCTACCACTCGCCCAGCCTCTCTGGCAGCAATGGCCTCCCTGAGGTGACCACCATACTACAAGGAGGCTCAGGGACTTTCACCCGAGAGTTCCCTGTGCCTGAGAGGCTGCTGCTGCCGTGACCTCAGCCCAGCTCACTCCATCCTCACCACCTATTTGACCTTCTCTCACCTACCCTGCCTCATTTGCCCTTTGAAGCAGTTAGGACACCAAATGCTTGTTTACTGCTCTCCTCCTTCCCAAGAAAATGAACCGCTTGAGGGCAGGAACTCTCCTCATCAGGCTCATCCTGAATCTCCAATACCTAGAACAGTACCTGGGCCAGGATGCATGGGTGAATGCCTGTTGGATGAACAAGCAAATGAAATGGAACCAGGTTCCAAAATCACCAAACTAGAAGCAAGTAGAGCTTCCATTTCACTGTACTTCCAATAAAAATACAAGGTATCTCAGAGTTACTTTCATCCCCCTTCCTGTTCCATCACAAAGACGTTAAACCTAAAACCAAAGTCACTTTTCTTTGTGTACGCCTAGGACATCTTATAGGCATACAGGTGGAAAAGTGCAGCAAGCAGTACTAATCAAACTACCAAAAAAAAAAAATTGTGATAATTTGATATTAATGGCCCTAGCCCAACAGCTGTCAAGCTATGGATGAAGCAAAACTCTGCAAATGGAAGGTGCGGTAAGCCCTGCCACGAAGACCTCTGTGGGCTACTGCGCTGTCCCTGTCCACACCCCAGATAAAAAGCTGTCAACTTGGAAAGAAAAGTCACTCAAGGAATAAGGAAGGAATCTTAATGATTTCACTGGACAATTTTTAATTTTCCCATTTGCTTTTCCTACCTCACATATTATGAACATACAAAATAATATGGGTTTTTTTTTAACACCATTTCCATCACACCAAATTACAGATTTAGAAATTCCTATTTTAGAAAGTTGACACAGAAAACCACTGAGTTTTCTTTTTCTTTTCTTTTTTTTTTTTTAGACGGCGTCTCGCTCTGTTGCCCAGGCTGGAGTGCAATGGCACGGTCTCAGCTCATTGCAAGCTCCGCCTCCTGGGTTCACGCCATTTTCCTGCCTCAGCCTCCCAAGTAGCTGGGACTACAGGCGCCCACCACCATGCCCGGCTGATTTTTTATATTTTTTTAGTAGAGACGGGTTTTCACCGTGTTAGCAAGGATGGTCTCGATCTCCTGACCTCGTGATCTACCCGCCTCGGCCTCCCAAAGTGCTGGGATTACAGGCGTGAGCCACCGCGCCCGGCCACCATTGAGTTTTCTAATAAAATTGGACCTCTCTGAGCTTTTTGGTTTCAAACTAAGCTTGATAACTTTGCTAAACTTTTTTATAGGCTGGTAAATGTGTAACTTCATCTATTTCTTTCCAAAGTTAACTACCTCCTATTTGAATTATATTGTTTGATCACAGAGCTAATCACAGCATTCAAGGGAATAAAACCCAGTTCTTAAGTAAAACTTACAGCTAAGAAATTTTGATAATAACTAATTAGTAGGCTTTGCTTGTACCCACGTGTAAGAATATGCACTATAGCAAGGTTTGTCATATATTAAAACATATACAATACACACTTTGACTCCTGCTAGGACAATACACAATTGGGTGCAGCCTTTGAACCAAGTGCCCAGGGATGGAGTGGAATGAGGCTTTACCTTTCTGTAGGTACTGTGTGCTTGCTTATCTTTTTAAATCTATCAATACAAATGTACTGCTTTATGCCAGAAGCATTTTTGATCTCTACCTATCTTGTTAAGTACTGTATCTCCTAGGGCCTAAAACAGGGAAGGCCTAGCACATAACAGGCCACAGACAAGTATTTGTCAAATGGATTAAGTTTGTTTTATGCATTCACTGGACAAATAGAAGTTAAAAAAATTCTTATTCCAAAAATCTAAAAGAATTCAAATGTTTTACAATACATAAATTCACGAGGAAGTGAAATTAGCCTCTGAGCCAAGATGTTTTTTGTGGATGATGTTATCACTTCATAGCTAATCCTTCCCCCTTGGCCTCCCAGTAACAACTGCATGAGCACGTCACACCAGAGACACATGTGTCATCAATTTCTCAGAGCTGGATCGATTATTTTTAAGCCCCTGTCCCTGCAGGAGGGCCTCCTTTTTTCCTTTCCAACTACAGCTTCAAATGTGATGTAGATGTAGTGGGATATACCCAGTCTTAGGAACCCTCAGACATCTAACAGGGCATCACTCACAGACAATGCATTCCTTTCAGAGTCTGTGTGAGTTCATCCTCTCCACCACAGGCAAGATATAGGCACCCAGCTCAGCCTGTCTCATCAAATACTTACCGAGCCCCCGTTGTGGCTGTCCATGCATACTGGACCCTGTCCTCCGGAGGAACCGCGCAATGAGAGACAGTTAATTCTCTTATCCAAGAAGGAACTGTATCAGCCAAGCTTTTATCCTTTCTTCCTTCTCCCTTTCCCCTCTGGGAAACCCTCAGCAGGCAAAAAGGATACAGCAGTCTCAACCCCAAGGAAAAGATGGTCATCAAAAGACAATTAGCTTTTCTATCTCCTAGAAACAACTGCTCTTAAGACAACCTAGCGTTTTGGAAAATGCAGCTCTGGGTGGCACCTTTCGAAGCAATAAAACATACGGCAAAATTTAAGAGGAAACAAAGAGGATTAAATACATATTTGTATTCTCAATTAAAAAAACTACGGTTCTATCATCTTAATTATGGAGTTAAACGTTAAAGAAACAAGTTTGATATCATGCCACTTTTCGTTATACTTCGAGAACGGAATGCAATAATGGTTAGTAAGAAGGAAGTAAAATGCCTGTATCAGAAGTAACAGCCCAAACCTGCTGACCAAAAATATTAACTGGGAACTAAACACCACGGTGCAGATCTCCGACATAGAAACCTGGACAGGAACACGTTTTAGGTTAGGTTTTCCAGCGTGTAAATCGGGACTCCAACACGTTTCAGCGTCCACAGCCCAATCTGACACCTTCCCTCGCACCCATCCACCACGCAATAATTTTCCTTCTGATGTGAACACGTCAAAAGTCACCTCGGGCCCCCAACTGCCCCAGATTGCTCCCGATCGCTGCAGACGCCCGGCACCCGCAGGAACTTCCCTGGCCCGGGCCGCCCGCGGCGCAGAGCATCCCGCGCGGACACTGCGCCCTCGGAAGGACACGCAGGACCGTCCAGGGCGCAGACTCGTCCCCAACGCAGTCTCCACTCCCGTGGCACAGCGTCCCCTCCCAAGGCAGCCTCCCCTGCCCGGGCCCAGCCTCATCCCGGGCGCAGCCTGCCGTCCCCCGGCGCAGCGTCCCATGCCGGGCGGAGCGTCTCCCCAGGGACATAGCCTACCGTCCCCAGGCGCAGCCTTGTTGCCAACGCAGCCTCCCGTTCCCCGGCGCAACCTTGTACCCGGGGCAGCCTCTGGTCCCCGGGCGCAGCCTCGTCCCCAGCGCAGCCTCCGATCTCCAGGGCACACCGTCCCCTCCCCAAAACGCAGTCTCGGTCCCCAGGGCGCAGCCTCGTCCCGGCGCACCTGCCCTCCCCGCGGCGCAGCGCGGCGCATCCCACGCGGACTCGGCGCCCTCGGGAGGGGACGCGGGGCCGCCCGGGCGCAGCTTCCTCCGGGAGCCGAGCGCCGGAGCAGACGGGCGACCCAGGAGGGTGGGTGCGAGGCGGTGCCGCGGCACCCTCGCTTCTCCGCGGGCGCCCTCCGCTCCCGGGACGGCCCGCAGCTCCGGCCCCACCACCAGTCCCTGCCCGGCGCTTACATAAACGCCGCCACCGCGGGGTCCGGAGCCCGCGCCCGCCCGAGCCGCCGCGGCCCCGCGCCGCCCTCACCTCAGCCGCAGCCGCGCCGCGCCTGGTCCTCCGCACGCGCGCCCCACGCTTCGGCCGCAGTCTCGCGCCGGGCGGCGCTCTGCCTCGTTGGTTGTGCGCAGCGGCGCGGCGTGGCCGTGGCCTCGCGCGGCCCGGAGCCCCGGCCGCCAACCTGGCCGCTTGGCCGCCGCTGCCGCCGCCGCCGCCGCCGCCGCCACGGCCGCCTCAGCGCCTCAGCCCCGCCGCCGGCGGCTCCGCCCCCTCCCCGCCCCCGCCGGCCCGCCGGGCGCGCGCACGCCGAGGGGGCGGGGGCGGCGCAGCGACGCCGGACGTGCGCGCGCTGGGGCGCCCGTGTCTGTCGTGGGCAGCCGGAGCTGTGGCACCTCCCTCACGACCACCTGCGGCGGACGGGCGCGGGGCCGTTGGGGCTGGAGCGCGGCCGGAGCTGAGAGACCGCGGCTGGGCGGCTCCGGAGCGTGGGGCGAGAGCGCGGGACCGGCCTGGCGTCGCGGCGCCGCCCGCCCGAGCGCGGCTGAGGAGACTCTGCCCGCCTTCGTTTTGGGGACGGGGTCTCACTGTCGCCCAGACTGGAGCGCGGTGGACCTCCGAGCTCACGCGATCCTGCCGCCTCAGCCTCCCTGGTAGCTGGGACCGCAGGCGCCCGGCGATTGGCGTTTGCGTTTTGCGGAGGTGGCGTCTCGCGGTGCTGCCCAGGCTCCCGGGCCCCCGCGCTCCTCCCTGCAGCGGGCGCTGCCCCCGCCGAGCCCCCGCCGAGCCCCCGCCGAGCCCCCGCCGAGCCCCCGCCGAGCCCCCGCCGAGCCCCCGCCGAGCCACCCCTGCTTCTCCCTCTCCCGGAGTTGCCTGGGACACGCGGGTCCCGCCGGCCCCCTCTCCCCGCCCGTCATCCTCACTGTAGACTCCGGGAGAACCAGGTCGCGGCCCAGGACCCTGGCTGGACACGGTTCCCGCCGTCTCCTGTTTAGTCCGCACTGACACTAGCAGCTGCTCCAGTTACCAACGTTTAGGTGATGGTGGTTTTGTTTGATTTTTTTTGTTTGTTTGTTTGTTTTAGGTTGATAGTAAAAGCATTTTTTTATAGCATATGCAATAGACCTACTCTTCGATTTATCTATATTTACTGACTGTTCCACAGTTATACCAAGAAATGTTTACACAGATGATGATAAGCATATGTAGAAATGCAACGTTTTCACTGACCGGAATAACCAGCTCCAGGCTGCAGTTCTCTGCACGAAGATAAAGTTTGATAGGCAAACTTGGCAGCTCCTGACCGCGGCGACCTGAGCCCAGAGGAGCAGCCGGGGGCGGTGGGCAGAGCCAGGTGTGGACAAGCGGGTGGGTCCCGCACCTGGGTGGGGGAAGCGGCAGGTTCCAGGGTCAAATTGAGGTTGTACTAGCCCTGGCCTCCAAACCTCAGGCGGCCCACTCTGCCCTCGGCCTCTTTCCTCCCTTGTAAAGTGGGGAGTAAGAGACCATCGCAAGCCAGGGATGGGGTGGCGCACACTGTGATCTCAGCCAGTCTGGAGGCTGGGGCTGGGCGGTGGGGGGGTGCGGGTCGCTTGTGTCTCAGAGCTGGAGCTGTGGTGTGCGAGGCCGAGGTCCGCGCCTATAAATGGCCGCTGCGCTCTGGCCCGGGCAACACTGAGACTCCGACTCTGGAAAACAACAAAACTTAAAAGACGAACACAGATGGAAGTTTGGGAGCCTGGTATGCGGTAAGCACTCCGCAGGTGTCAGCCGCCAGCCCGCAGTCCCGGACAGGTCAGGGGAAGGCCCGCGGTATGCAGCAGGCTGCCGGCTTCAGTCACTGCCTGGTGGAAAACAAGCCTGTCTTTGGGGCCAGCCAGCTAACAAGTGAGCCCTTCACCCCATCTGAAGGCGAAGCACCCAAAGGGGCAACCGTGGACGGCTAAATAAAAATCAAGACTCCTGGGACGCCTTCTCGGGACACATTCTTAAAGAGATACGTGCCTGAGGACGTTGTGTGTATTTCTGTGTAACAGGCCACCCCAAACCTCAGAGGGCGAAAACCTCTCTTCACTGCTCATGACTCTGTGGGCCTGCAGCTTAAGCCGGTTCAGCTGGGACGGCTTGCCTCGGCTCCATGGGGTGTCTGCTGGGCCCACTTACAGGCAGGCGCCCCGGGCAGATCCGGGCCACATGTCACCCACCCACCGCAGGCTGGCCGGGCCTCCCTCCCGTGGTGGCTGGGCTCCGTCGGCAGCAAGAAAAAGCAAATCCCCATGGTGCTTCCCTCCATCTCCCCAGGAGGGTGAGATGGCCGGGGCCTGAGTGGACGTGAGGCACCGCACAGGGGACGGGCACGGCAAGCATGGTTCATCGGGGCTGTCACTGCAGAAGTCTTCCACAGGCCTTCGCTGAGGTGCGGGTTGGTGTGGGGAATACAAGGGAACTCCCCAGAATGGAGGCTGCTTGTGCAAGTTTCAACTTGTCCTTTTTCTCCCTCCAGAGCAGCAGAGAGCGGATGGCGCCCAAGGCCGGGACCCTCTGCTGCTCCCACAGGCCTCTCAGGCGGCTCTGCAGGACCAGCCAGCAGCCTCTGATGCTCCCTTCCTATTCCATGGCTTCAGGTGCCATCCTCTCCACAGAGACGGTTTCTATTGTGACGCTCTCCCTGACTTGGAAGAATGGCACTGGGAACATTCCCCTTGGTGCTGATGTCGGGGAGGAAAGCAGTTTCCAGTCGCCTGGGGCCAGGACATGGCGTTCCCAGCTGTTGTAGAGCATGAAGCACCAGGATGCCCATTCGGGTGCCTGCTGAGATCAGGCTCTTTGAGAAGGAATCCTGTGGTCGCCTGAGGAAGTCCAAAAAAATTTCGAGGACATCTCAGCCATCCATCCCCTGTTCACTGTGGAGGTTGAACACCGGGGCTCCTGGAGGGGGGCCCTGGGTCTCCACAGAAGTGCTGGCAGCCACCATCCACTTCCTGGCCTTCCGTGCCCGCTCCACCTCTGTTCTGTTGTTTACTGTCTCCTTTGTGGGAATTATGGAATAAACAATCACTCTGGTGTCCTGGAAAATAAACCTGATGCTGGAGGGCTTGAGTGTAGGAATCCAGCTGGGCTCCCACTGTCTGCCCCAGGGTGCGGAGTTAGGCTTTGCATAAGCATGTGAGATGCCAACCGCTATGAAATGTGGTCTACACAGCACCAAAAATCCATTTCCCACGTTTTCCCTTCAGTGCAGTTAAATGGCATGACCCTGTGACTGTCTCCCACGAGAAGAACTAAAAATTACGCTGGTCCTGCCAATGCCTACAGGATACGGTGGCACAAAATGATTTCCACGGTCTTAGGATATAGACCCAGGCCGACTCGAGAGATTAAGTGGATTTCAAACTGTGGTCTTGAGCCTTCTGGGAACTGCCCGAAAGGAGGGGAAGGCGCCAGCCTCGGAGTGGTCCAGCTGCCCGGCCTGTTCACACACTGGCCTTTCAGTTGAAGACAGTGTTCAAAGCTTACCCGTGTAAATGCCACTGATCTGTGAACCCCCTTCCTGTCATGCCCAGGGCCTGGCAGACTGTGGCTAGAACGGTGGGATCAGAGCAGTGGGTCACGTGACCTGCGCACGGGTGTGCTGGCCTCCCTGGGCCGCGGTGGCCA
This sequence comes from Homo sapiens, assembly GCF_000001405.40. Classification (NCBI taxonomy): domain Eukaryota; kingdom Metazoa; phylum Chordata; class Mammalia; order Primates; family Hominidae; genus Homo; species Homo sapiens. Next base: position 45,071,169 of record NC_000021.9, on the reverse strand, counting down.
GGACAGCCTTCCTTTCCCTTTCCAGCCACACAGGGCAATCCGTGTGCTCAGATTTCTGTCTCATCAATTACAGAGCGAGCTGCCAACCTGCTGTGCTGAGACTGTGGCCTGGTCTTGGTCCTGGTGTCCTAGGGCTGATGACTGACCACAGCCTTTGTGCTTTTGAAGCCTATTTGACTATAGTCCTTGTGTGCAACTAAAAATGTAGCTTTAAACAATCTTGCTTTGTTTTAATTCTGCCCAATCTATTTGAGAAAGGACACTCACAGGTACTTTTTAGATTGTAGCCTAAAGTGGATTATTGATTTCCTTGTTTCTCAAACGTCAGGAGGAGCATAAAACTGCTAATAAGAGGTGACCAATATTCGGTGATACCGTGATTTGAGACATAATATTTTTTGCCCTATATTTTAAAAATAAAATAAGAAGACATGAGACTGGAGTGGCAAAAACCAGATGTTGCCAAACCATTCAGTCAGCAGCTGCCATGGTGGTGGATACCATGTGTGAGACCTGCCCAGCTCACAATGTGCCACTGTCTCTAGGACAACTCCCAACTCCCACAGTGACACAGCAGGAACAGTCTGTCTGTGCTCTGTGACAGGCACACAGCACACCCCCCCACAACCCACTCCAGGACCTCAGGCGGGATTCTGACTCCCAGGATGGCCCTGGGTGCTTAGAGCTAGCATTGAGACAATCGTGAGTCTCTCTTTGTGCCTAGGCCTGAAGGGTTCAAATCCAGCACAATTAGGATGGTCTCCATCACTGGCCAGCCTGAAGAGAGAAAACTGGGGTAGACACACAGGGGCAGGAGAGAGAGGACGAACTGATGGCCTTTCAGCGCCGTAGGCAGTGTCACGTGCATAGGTCAACACGTGGCCAGGAAGATGTCTTTGCTTCAGGGCGTTCATGTTCTAGTGGGGAGATGGTGTCAGGGAGCAGTGCAGTGTGTTACCTGAGACACCGTCCAGGGCAGGAACAGAGGCGTGACAGTCAGTGCGGACCTGGCTGTGCCATGCAGCACTGGCCAAGTTGTTTGGCCTGTCTGAGCCTGTTCTGCATCCAGAAGAGGGAGACGATGGGTGGAAAAGCTCCAGTGGTGATGTACAAATGCAGGCTCCTAATGAAGAGGAGTGTGAACGGTTGCAGGAGTCCAGGGCACTGCAGCTGCACCGCTCAGGAGTGTCAGAGCAAGCTGCAGGAAGCTGCACTGAGCCTTGGAGGATGAGAAGGCACTGACGGCGGGAATGCCTGTGGCAGAGGAAAAATGCAGGAAGCTGCATTGAGCCTTGGAGGATGAGAAGGCATTGACAGCAGGAGTGCCTGTGGCAGAGGAAAAAGCACTTCCATGGCACATGAAGTCAGAGAAGAGAGGAGGCTTCTGCCACCATTGGTCAGAAGAGTCCTCCTGGTCAGGCCACTTTGCACTCTGTAGAGACCAGGGAAAGGGAATGTGCTGCGTGGTTAAGTCAGAGGTGGGCAGGCTGAGCCTGGGCCCAGTGGTGTCCAGTCAACAGCTAAGAATGAACATTAAACATGTAAAGTGTTGGGGTGGGTGGGGGCTTATGAAGAATAGATGCAGTGGGCTTATGTGGCCGGTAGAGCCATAGATCTTTGCCATCTGGCCCTTTGCAGAGAAAGGCAATCCCTGGTTTAGCCAAGTAGGGCCTAGCTCTGGAACTGGGAGGTGGAGCAGCTGCCATCGAAGTGCATAGACTGTCTGGGGGTGGGAGAAACACAACCCAAATCAGCACCCCGGTGAGGGGACGGAGGCTCTGACTTACCCGGCGGTGTCTGCCTAGAGCTCAGGCATGCCTGCGGCTTCCATGCAGAAGACCTTCATCAGGTGTTGACAGTGGAAATGGAAAGAGTTAAGAGGCTTTTGGAATTAGACTCAACAGGACTTAGTGATAGAGTCACTAGAGGGGTCTGGGGAGGAGAAGCATCAGGGCTTACCCAGGATCCTGGCTTGCACATATTGGCGGGTGATGGTGCTCTGGGATGACACGGGGGATGGGGGGACGAAACCAGGCATTCCTTTTGGGTGCGTTAAGTTTGCGATGCCTACAGGATGTCTGAGTGGCTGTGTTGGGAAGATAGCTACGTACAAAAGACTGATGTCCGGAGAGGAGAGCCGTGCTGGAGACGGACACTTGAAACCCTTGAAAATGGAAGACGTCACCGATCCCCTAAAGAGAGAATGGAGAAAGGAAAGAAGGGAACCTGGCTCCAGACCCGAAGAGCCTCAGCCTAGCATTAGAGGTGAGCATAGAGAGAGAAGGGAGTGTGGGAGGCGGGAAGGCCCAGCGAGGCAGGAGAGAAAAGACGGAAGCGTGTTTCTCTGGAGGCCAAGGCAGGGGGACTGCTTGAGGCCAGGGGTTGGAGGCTTCAGTGAGCTAATACCTCACACAGGTTGTATTCTTTTGTGTCTTGATTATTTCACTTGATCATGTATAAAGAGAGGAAAGGGAGACATAAATATGGTTATGTAGGCAGATAATTTTAAATCTACAGCCAAAGTCTTAGATCTAATTAAAATTCAGCAAGATTATTGGGTATAAAATTGGCACACATGCACACACCCCCAAAATGATTTCTATATATCGGCAGCAAACAACGTGTAATTTGGAAGATGATACTGTTCAACAGTAACAAAAGTATGAACTAAAAATAGATTTAAAAAAAAGTACATGATCCTTAAGGAGAAACTCATTTTTAAAAATTATTAAAAGAGCAAGCGAATATAGAGACACACCAAACACCTCAAATTCTTTGTGGGATGAGTATAAATATATAAAGCAAACAAAATTAGCAGCTTCACCAACTTCTTTTGAATGATACTAGATTTTTAAAATAAATCAGATGCAAAAACAGTATGGCTCCTGGTAACATACTACTCTAAAATAATGGACTAGAGCCAGGAAAAGGAGATTTTTTTTTCTATTTTGCCGAGTTATGTCTTAATTATTATGTTAGCAGTCTTTCCTGAGAAGCTAAAAGGTAATTAGCAACTGAAGCCAGGCAAGAGTGGGGAGGAGGGAGGGCGCGGGCAGGCCGCGCTCTGCTGAATCTCCAGGAGCTGTTCTGGAGGGGATGGAGGCTGGAGGCTGAGCCTAAGTACAGTTGGGTTAGTGACAAATTAGATGGCTCATGTGGTTATTTAAAGCCTTCTCTCTAGGAAACTTTCAACTACCATATATTCAAGATCTTGCAGTTGATAGTTTTAAACTGGAATCTCAGGGACTCGGGCTGACTGTCACCTATACAAGCTACTCAGGGATACAGCAGCCATGAACGGTGGTGTGAAAAGTGGCCATCATCATGTATTTTCAAACTTTTTTGAGATATAATACATACACCAAAAAGTATCCATATCATAAATGTACATCTCAACACATTAGCCCAAAGTGGACACAGCTGTGAAACCTCCACCAGGGCGAGCAGCGGAACGTGACCAACTCGGAGTGTCCGGCGTGCCCCTCCATAGCCACAGCTGCCTCTGGGCCTTAAAGATAAGCTCTACCCTGACTCCTACCTCCGCAGATTGGTTATGCCTGTTTTTGCTTCACATAAGTGACATCACACAGAATGTATTCTTTCGTGTCTTGATTCTTCCACTTGACGCTGTGTTCATGAGATCCATCAACCTGTGCCTCTGTGAACCTTCTCTTACACCTCTCAGCGCACGTGTGTATGTTTCTGTTGGGTTGTGTACCAGGTCACAGGAGACACATAGGTCCACTCCAGAGGGGACACTGATTTTCCAACGTGTTGAGCCATTTTATACTCCTACCAGCAGGCGAGGAGCTTTCTGGCTGCTTCTTGTCCACATCAACAGCTGGTGTTGACACTTTGTCCACCCTGGAGGGTGGTGGTAGTTCCTCACAGTGGCTTTAATCTGTAGTTCACTAATGACCAGTGAGGTTGAGCATCTTTACATGTTCTTGTTTTCCACATGCACATCCTTTCTGGTGAAGAAGCCACAAGTTTTCTTTATTATTTATTTGTAGAAGTTATTTATATATTCTAGACCCAAACTCTTGGCAAGCTATATGTGTTGCAAATACCTTCTCTCACCCTGTGTCTTGCATTTCCATAATCACAGTGGAGTCTTTTGTTATACAGGAGTTCTTAATTTCAATGTGATCCAATTTATCTACCGTTTTTTTCTACGGTTAGGGTTTTTTTGTTTCCTGTTTAGAAAACTCAACTACTCCATGGTCATGAAGGAATGCTTCTGTTATCTTCTGGAAGGTTTATTGTTTCAATTTTCAAATTTAGAGGACAATTCACCAGGAATTGTTTTTCTGTACAATGTGAGGTAGGGGTTCAGAGTCAGTCCATAACTGTTGTCTGTGTTTGGTGCCCAGTTGACCTAGCACCATTTACTGACATGATTTCCCTTCTCCCTGCTGCTCTGCTGCAGTAGCTTTGTTGTGAATTCAGCATCCATATAGGCATGGGTTGTTGCTTTTTTCTGAACTATTTTGTTAGGTGCTGAGGACTGGCCTTGAACTGCTGTTTCCTGTCCTAATTACTGAAGCTTTCTCATGAGTCTTCTTTTGACACCGTAGAATCACCTTGCAGTTTTTCTGTTTTTCAAAATTTTCTTGGTTATACTTGGTATTTTGCATTTCCATTTAAATCTTTGAATTGGCTTATAAATTTCCTCAAAATATTCTGCTAGAATTTTTATTAGAATTTCATTGAAGCTATAGATCAATTTGGCGAGAACGGATATTCTCACAATATTGAGTGCTCCAGTTCACGTTTAGCCCTACATTGATTTAAATATTCTCCAGTTGCTCTCATTATCTTCTAGTCTTCTGTGTAGATATTACATACATAGTCCATTAGATTTATTCGCAGACATTTGGTGCATTGGATGATCATTTAAAATGTTCCCTATTTTTATTTTCTGACCACTGGTTTCTGGTTTATTTAGAATGCAGTTGATCTTTGTGTATTGACCTTGTACCAGCAGTCTTTCCAGATTCACTTAATAATTTCAATAGTTATCTGTAGATTCTATTGGGTTTCTTATATACGTATCATTTTGTTTGTGAATAATGACTTTTTCATTTTTTCCTTTCTGATCATTTTATCCTTTATTGCTTTCTTCTTGGCTTACCTCACCAGCTGCTGCTGAAAAGAAGTGTTAGTGGTGAGCATCCTTATTTTTTTCCTGACCTCAGGGGGGACGCTTTCAATATTTCACTAATAAGTGTGAGATCTGTGGTAGGATTTTTAAATATAGATGCCCCCGATGAGATCAAGGAAGCTCACTTCTATCTCCACTTTGCTAAGAGTTTCTTTTCCTGAATGCATGCTGAGTTTTATCACATTCTTTCTTCTGCATTTATTGAGATGATAGTATGATTTTTCTGCTTCATTACATTAATATGATGAATTAAGTTGATTAAAGTTTAAATGTTATACCAACCTTGCATTTCTGGAAAAAGCCCAACTTGGAAAAAGCCCGGGAGATACCCCAGGATCCTTCTAGCAAATCCCCCTCTCTGCTTGCCCACCCCCTTGCTTCAAGGACAAGGAGTGGAAGAAACAAGGAAAATGGTGAAGAAGCCCAGACCTCAGGGCTCCACCTGGCCCTGCTGAGGCCTAAGGCATGGGGGGGGGGGTACTTTTGTGGCTTGACTTGGGGGTAGTGGGGGTCTCCTGTGGCCTGGGTGGTTGGGAGTCTGTGGCCTGGGTACGGGGCATTGCTGACTGCTGTGACCTGGCCCCCCTCCCCAACTGCGTCCTGGCCATGGGGGGCTGCTGTGGCCTGGCCCTGCCTAGCAGATGAGAGGCTTCGGGCCTCATTTTCTATTGAGTGCATGGAAGCAGCTCTGGTTGATGTAAGACCAGGTCACTTACTGGACATTGGTCCCTTCCTTGGGCTTCAGTCTCATCAGAGAAGTTATCTGTAAAGTCATGAGTCAACAAAATATGCCTCAAGCAAACCGTGTAAAAAGAAAGTATAAACTAAGCATTAAATATTCCATCAGCCACAGAAATGTGAGGCACTGTTCCCGCCTGCACTGAGGTTCAGAGGCTCGCCCCTCCCCAGCACCCTCCACCGTGCGGTGCAGTGCTCAGTGTTTGCCAGCAGCCTAGGGTCTTCGAGGAGAAAAGTCTCTGCCGTCCTGTGCGGGCCACCGTGGAGATTGGTGATGGAGCTATTCATCAGTTCTTCGGCCAGTCTCTTTTCAGGGGCAAGGGTCTCCCGCCGGTCATCAACGCCTCAGGGGACGGAGGGGAGGGAGAGCACATCTGGAGGGGTGCAACCCCAGATGGCCCCACGAGAACCAGGAGGGACCCTGGTGGCCGCAGGAGTTCAGGCCCAGGAACAGGTCCCAGGCTCCCTCTTGTCCTGGCTCCTTCCCGGACCTCCTGGGAACACAGCACACATTCCAGAGAGATGAGAGCAGTCATAGTCTATGCGGGTTTGCTTGAATGGCATACAAGTATAAGCCCACCTATTTTTGTTTTCTAGAATTCCACTTCTATTTTTGGTGGAATATGAAAGTTTGACTATTTCCCAAAGTGGAAAAACACATGTTTTTCCTTGACTGTCTGGTAATGTCTTTGTTGCTCATTAAATAAGTGCATGCAGTCTCCATGGGCGCTTGGTGAACCCCCTTCCCGATCCCCTGAGCATGAGCTGGTTGTGTGCACCATACCCAGAGCCTTTCTCAAGCCCTCCTGCGTTTTATTTATTAAAGCTTCAGCACTTCACACATATCGCAGTGGGTAGATCTGAATAAGGGCATCAGATATGCCCACCACTCTGCAGCTAAGGACTCCAGGGAAGCCTCTCCATGAGGATTCCAGTGCTTAGGCCCCAGGCCCCGCCCCTCATGTATCTGTAAAACACAACAGAAGGAGGGGGAGGGAGAGGAAGAAGAAGGGTGGGAGGGTAGGAGGAAGGGGAGGGGCACTTCCACCCCTTCCACTGCCTGAAGGATGTGTGCGGTGGACACTGGGGTGACTATGGAAGGGGCGCGCTCACCTGAGCTCACTCCCACCAGCATATTAGCCTCCGTTACAACAACTAATTCTTTCGGTATTTTGTGACGGGGTTTCACTCCGTTGCCCAGGCTGGAGTGCAGTGGCACAACCATGGCTCACTGGGGACTCCACCTCCCCACTCAAGCAATCCTCCCACCCCAGCCTCTGCAGTAGCTTGAGACCACAGGTGTGCAACACCACACCCAGCTAATTTTTTCATTTTTACTTTTTGTAGAGACAGGGTCTCCCTATGTTGCCCAGGCTGGTGTCAAACTCCTGGGTTTAAGTGATCTTCCCACCTTGGCCTCCCAAGGTATTGGGATTACAGGTGTGAGCCACTGCACCAGGGCTTAGTGGGTCTATTTCTTGACTCTTTATTCTGTTCCATTGATCTATTTGTTTTGCTTCCCACAGACACCACATTGTCTTGCATCCTATAGCTTAAGGAAAAGAAGCTGGTGTCATTCCTGTAGGCTGTGTGCAGGATTGTTTGCCCCCTTCCAAGTTCTTTGCCTTTCCATTAAACTTTTAGGATCAGCTGGTCAATTTCTACAACAAAGCCTGCTGGAATTTCTATTAGAATAATATTGATATTTCAGGAAGTATGGACAGCTTCCTAGTACTGAATCCTCCAATCCATGATCATGGTATACCTCTCTGTCTTGGTCCATTCTGGTAGCTATAACAAAGCATCTTTGACTGGATGGCTTATAAACAACAGAAATCTATTTCTTGCAGTTCTGGAGGTTGGAAAGTCCAAGGTCAAGGTGTCTGGTGAAGGCTCAGGCTCCCCAGCCTCTGGCTGCAGAACTTATACCCTTTGCCTGTTGTTCTCAGGCCTTTGGTTTGACTGAGGGTTTTATCATCAGTTTCCCTGGTTCGGGGGCTTTTGGACTTGGACTGAGCAACACTGCCAGCATCCCTGGCTCTCCAGCTTGTGGACAGCTTGTAGTGGGACTCCTCAGCCTCCACAATTGATGGTGCCTTCTTGCTATGGCCTCATGTAACAGAAGGAACTAGATAGTTCTCTGCAGTGTCTTTTTTTTTTTCCTTTGAGATGGAGTCTTGCTCTGTTACCCGGGCTGGAGTGCAGTGGTGCGATCTCGGCTCACTGCAACCTCTGCCTCCAAGGTTCAAGCGATTCTCTTGCCTCAGCCTCCCAAGTAGCTGGGATTACAGGTGCCCACCAACACGCCCAGCTAATTTTTTGTATTTTTAGTAGAGACGGGGTTTCACTATGTTGGCCAGGCTGGTCTCAAACTCCTGACCTCGTGATCTGCCCGCCTCGGCCTCCCAAAGTGCTGGGATTACAGATGTGAGCCACTGTGCCCAGCCTACAGTGTCTTTTATAAGGAAATTAATCCCATCATGAGGACTCCACCCTTATGACCACACCACCTCCCAAAAGGCCTCACCTCCAAAAACCATCACCTTGGGAGTCAGAACTTCAACATATGAGTTTTAGGGGGACAGAAACATTTAGACCATAACACTCACAATTTGTTTAGGTTGTCTTTAATTTCTCCCAGCTGTGTTTTGCAGTTTTCAGGGTAAAGGTCCTGCACATCTGTGTTAGGTTTCTCCAGAGAAACGGAACCAATAGGATGGGTGGATAGATGGGTAGATGGAGAGAGGGAGAGACAGAGAGACAGACAGGCAGACAGGTAGATAGACAGTTGAGAGGGGATTTATTAGGGGAATTGATTCACATGACTGTGGGGCCTGAGGAGTCCCACTACAGGCCATCTGCAAGCTAGAGACCCTAGGGTGCTGGGAGTGTGGCTCGGTCCAAGTCTAAAAGCCCCAGAGCCAGGCAACCTGATGGTAGAAGTCTCAGTTCAAGGTCAAAGGCCTGGGAACCCAGAGGCAGGGGATGAAAGCCCTGGCACCAAAGGCTAGGGAGGCTGGCCTTGTTGTCCAAGGGCAGGAGAGGATGAGTGTGTCCCAGCTCCAGCAGGGAGCTCCATACATTCACCTTTTCTCTGTCTCTGTTCTCTCCAGGGCCCCAACAACTGGATGGTGCTGTCCACACTGAGGGCGAATCTCACCCACTAGTCCACTCAGACTCACACTAATCTCCTCTGGAAACACCTCACAGACACACCCCAAAATAACGCTTTATCAAGTTTCTAGGTATTTCTTAATCCAGTCAAGTTGACACCTAAAATGAACCATCACAAAAACTTTCCGTTAAATTCATTCCTAAATATTGTGTTTTTTATTGCTAGTCTGAGTGGTATTTTAAATTTTAATTTTCCAGTTGTTTCTTGCTAATGTATAGGAAAGCAATGGATCTGGTAATTGATTGTATACCCTTTGGCCTTGCTGTATTCACTTACTAATTCTAGTGCTTTTTTGTAGCTTCTTTGGGATTTTCTGCATCTACATTTATAATCATATTGGTTATGAATCTACACAGATTTGCTTTTTCCTCTTCAATCTGTATGTCATTTGTTTCTTCTTCTTGCCTTATTGCATTGGCTGGGATCTGTGATACAGTTTTATAGAGAGCATTTGCTGTGCCCACATGGCAGAGTACATAGAAGGGTGACACCAGGAGGTAAGCTCAGAGGTCCCAAAAACTAAGCATAGTACAGTCATCCCCTCTTATCTGTGGGGAATATGTTTCAAGACACCTACTTGGTGCCTGAAGCTGCAGACAGACAGATAGATAGATGGATAGATTATAGACAGACAGACAGACAGACAGACAGACAGACAGACAGATAGATAAAGAGGGGATTTATTAGGGGAATTGGTTCACATGATTGTGGGGCCTGAGAAGTCCCACACAGGCCATCTGCAAGCTAGAGACACTAGGGTGCTGGTAGTGTGGCTCAGTATAAGTCCAAAAGCCCCAAACCAGGGAAGCCAATGGTAGAACTCTCTCTCCAAGGTCAAAGACCTTGGGAACCCAGAGGCAGGGGGAGAAACCCAGGTTGTACAGAACACTATATGTACCATGTCTCTTTTATCTGACTGCCAAGAGGGCTGCTAAGTGACTAACAGCGGGTAGCGTAGACAGCGTGAATATGCTGAACAAAGGGACAATTCACATCCTGTGCAGGACAGAGCAGGACGGTGCAAGATTTCCGTGTGCTCCTCACAGGGTGTGCAATTTAAAACATGTGAATGGTTTATTTCTGGACCCTTCCGGTTTATAATTTTAAAATGCAATTGACTGTGGGTAGTTGAAATCACAGACAGTGAAACTGAGGATGGTGGAGGCTACTGTACATGATTTTCAGGTCCTGCCGACTTCTCTAGTTTCATTAAAGAGCAAACTCTGGCAGGATATGTCATATTTGTATAATACTTGAGAGCTGGGCTGGCTACATAATTTGCAGGGTGCACTGAAAAATGAAAATGAGACTGCTTCTTCATGAAACATGAAAAACGTTCTTTCCTTTTTTCCAAAGTCTGTCTCTGTTTGTGCTCCTCCCTCCATCGCCCTCCCCTGCCCTCTCAATCTGTCACAGTGATTTTTACGTGCCATTTACTGCCGTGCTCCCTTGAGCATGGGAATACCTGCAAGACAAGGAGGGGCCTTCACAGGCAGAGGCGTCAGGGTCAGAACCGTGGAGTGGCCTCGGGTGAGTCAAGGCTGCGAGCCCCATTACTCCATTGCCCCACAGGGCTTCTCTTTCAAAGCACACATTCAATAATAAAATTGTTAAAATATCAAGATAACAACTACAGAGCACTCAAAATGCAAACACCGTCCTCCCGAGCATGGAACCCTCTTGAGAACAAGTCCTCCTGAGCACTGAGTCCTCCTGAGCACTGAGCCCTCCAGAGCAGAGAGTCCTCCTGAGCAGAGAGCCCTCCTGAGCATGGGGTCCTCCTGGGGGTCTCCTGAGTGGCTCCCAATCATACACCTGCCTCGCACACACCAGTGCCAAGGGCCTGCGTGCTTGGTGCCCTGCCAGGTGTCTGGGGCCCGGCTGCTATCTCGCACTCACAGCCTCACATTCACTTTTGATGGGCCAGGCGTTTAGCAGGTGAAACTGCGGCTCTGAGAGCTCAGAGAGCTTCTTTCACAGTAGCAGCTGCTCCCACAAGGGGTGGATTCTTCCCTCTGTAAGAGGGCAGCGGAGATTGTAAATTCTAACAGTGGTGGGGTGGTGAGCAGTCTTTGCTTTAGTAATGGACACATGTATTCTGTATTCACTTTCATGGTCAGATGTTTTCTTAAGCTAATCTTAAACTGATTAAGAATGGTAAGGTGTGGCCAGGGGTGGTGGCTCACACCTGTAATTCCAGCACTTTGGGAGACCGAGGTGGGTAGATCACGAGGTCAGGAGATTGAGACCATCCTGGCTAACACAGTGAAATGCTGTCTCCACTAAAAATACAAAAAAAAAAAAAAATTAGCCTGGCGTGGTGGCGGGCGCCTGTAGTCCCAGCTACTCGGGAGGCTGAGGCAGAAGAATGGCGTGAACCCAGGAGGTGGAGCTTGCAGTGAGCCAAGATCGCGCCACTGCACTCCAGCCTGGGCAACAGAGCGAGACTCCATCTCAAAAAAAAGAATGGTAAGGTGTGGGTCACACCCTAGGGAGAGACAGTGGGCCCGGTGGCTGGGACAGCAGCTGGGACAAGCCATTCAATCACCCAGGGTGGCAGATTCGTCACAGACGTGAGAGGTGCTGTGGTCAGGCAAGACTTCTGCTTGGCCAGGTCAGGGAGGACTTCCTGAAGGAGACGACATTCTTACAGGACCAGTAGTCATTCCCCAGGTCCAGAAGAGGCCTGGGGGAGAGCCTGTGCCCAGCGGGCAGGAAAGTGATGTGGACCCCAGCCAGGAGAGCCCAGGGAGCCAGTGCCTGTCACTCGGGTGCCTCAGGGCTTCCTGGAAGGGAGGGCCTGGCATGGCAGGGGCCAGGGGCCAGTGAGGGCAGGGGAGGGACTGGGGAGGAGAGCAGAGGAAGACAGGTGCAGCCAGATGGGAGGGTCCTGAATGCCACTTCTGATTCTGCCTCCCTCCCACCACTTACCAACCTGCAAAATCCTCCATGATCTTTTCTTTCCTTTTTTTTTTGAGACAGGATCTCACTCTGTTGCCCAGGCTGGTGTACAGTGGCGCCATTTCGGCTCACTGCAACCTCCGCCTCCCAGGTTCGAGTGACTCTCCCACCTCAGCCTCCTGAGTAGCTGGGACTACAGGTTCGCACCACCACGCCTGGCTAATTTTTGGATTTTTTTGGTAGAGACGGGGTTTCACCATGTTGGCCAGGCTGGTCTCAAACTCCTGATCTCAAGTGATCCGCCCATCTTGGCTTCCCAAAGTGCTGAGATTACAAGTGTGAGCCACCGCACCCGGCCAAGCTTCTGTGTTCTAATCAACCCTGATTAAAAGCTCACTCCCTTGTCCCCCTCCTCACTAGCCGCCACTGCCCCAGCACCCCTCCCCATTCCATGTCCCCATCCCCCACACCCTTCCCCCTCCCTGCCTCCCACTCCCCCACACCTCTCCCCTTCCCTGCCCCTCACTCTCCACACCATCCCTCCAACTCCCTCCCTCCACTTCCCCCACACTCCCCCCTCTCCCTATCCCCACTCCTCCACACCCCTCCCCACTCTGCCCCCACTGCCCACACACCTCCCCTCCCTGCCCCCACTCCCCTCCCCACTCTGCGACCCCCTCCTCCACACCCCTCCCCCTCCCTGAGCCCCACTCCCCCCACCACCCTCCTTCCTCCACGCCACTGCCCCACACCCCTCCCCCTCCCTGCCCCTCATGGCCATCTTCCTGAAGGGCAGCACCCTCTAGACTTTCTGGAACTTCGCTTTGTCCACCTGCCTGTGTGTCCAAAAACCTCTCAGACCGGTGGACACCCCCAGCTCATCCAACCCCCTCCTGTATGTGGATGCTCAGATTGTCGCTCGTGTTTTGCAATTACAAACAGTGCTGCAGAGGAAGGATGTCAACCACGGGCGTCTTCGTTTTGGAAATTGGAGACATCTTCCCAGGGTCAAAGGTAAGTGTGCATGTCATTTTGTTCCGTGTTGCCAACGCCCCTCTGGGAGAGCTGTACCCAGTGGCATCCCCGCCAGGGACTGGGACCTGCTTCCCACAGCCCAGCGGACGGATGCGCGGTCTCGTGGATGAGAGGTAGTGCCTGGCCTTGGTTGAAGTTTGCGTTCTCTAAGGATGAGTGAGTAGACAGGTTTCAAGTGTTTAAGGCTCATTTTAATCTTTTGGGGGAACTGTCTCTTTATGTCCTTTTTCTGTTTGTCTCTCTGATTTATGGTCCTTTGTCCTCAATTTGTACGAGTTCTTCATTTATTAAGGATGTTGAGGCTGGGCACAGTGGCTCATGCCTGTAATCCCAGCACTTTGGGAGGCCGAGGTGGGTGGATTGCTTGAGGTCAGGAGTTCGAGACCAGCCTGACCAACATGGTGAAACTCCGTCTCTACTAAAAATACAAAAAAATTAGCCGGACGTGGTGGCGCACGCCTGTAATCCTGTAATCCCAGCTACTCAGGAGGCTGAGGCAGGAGAATCACTTGAACCTGGGAGGCAGAGGTTGTAGTGAGCCGAGATTGCGCCACTGCACTCCAGTTTATGTGATGGAGCGAGACTTTGTCTCAAAAAAAAAAAAAGAAAGAAAAGAAAAAAGGACATTGGTCCTTCATCTGTGGCTTATGTTGCAAATATTTTCTCCTAGTTTTTCAGTTGTCTTTGTGGTGTTTTCTTTTGGCTGTGCAATATATTTTTCCTTTTTTATGCCCATATTTACCAATCTTTTCTTTTCTTTGAGTCATGGTTAGAGAGTCTATCCCTGCACCCAGATGACAGAAGAATGCACTCATGTCCTCTTCCAGGACTTGTCTGAGCTCCCGTTTCACATGTGGGTTCCCAAGCCACTGGAAGTGTATTTTTGTGTGTGGCGTGAGGCAGACCTCTCATCTTTTCTCCAAGCCTATCCGGCGTGCCCCTTACCCTGTTATTCAGAGTCCACTTGTGCTCCAGAGGTTTGAGGCACCCCCTTTATCTCATGCTGACCTCCCAGGTGCACGGGCCTCCTTCTGGGCTTCCTGTCCACCCTGTGTCTGTCTGTCCGGCACGACCCGCTGGAGGACGCCGTACTGTCAGCAGGGCTGAGGCTGTCAGGAAAGGGGTACAGGCGGCGGAACTAGGCTTTCTTTTTCAGGGGTTCCTGGCTATCCTTGAGGGATAAGTGTTTCTTGGGATAAGATTCATTTATGTGAAGTTTAGCAGTCCTTCAGTTTTACTCCATTTCTTTTTCTTCTGTTAAATTCAAGGAAAATCCTAAACTTTGCATCTCCTCAACGATCAGCTTGCGTGTTCTGTCCATGTCTTGCACAGGGCCCAGACTCACCCAACATGAATGAGGGGCGTTTCTGGGCAAGGAGTCTGGCAGTGACATTCGTGGTTTGTTGTTGCTTTCTTTTTTGTAACTTTGGGTATTGTTTGCCTCTTGACAGTATGCATGCATTCTTCCTGTGAGGAAACCAAGTCATTATTCCAGAGCGGAATTTTTCCAGGAAGGAGCCAAGCGCTCAGATGGCTCTGGCTAGGGGAGGGGATGAAGTAAATCGCAGTCTGCAAATTAGAGCTCAGTGCATTAATATTTCCTAAAAATATCTCTCATTTGCATCTCCTACGAGCAAATGTTTTGCGGAAAAACCGTCTTTATTTCGGGATCTCTGGAGTGGCGGCGGCGTCACTCCGCCGCCGGCGAGTGGCCTACATCTTCTCCTTCTGTTCCAGCTCATTCTCTCCTTCCACGAATACAAGACGCTGGAAGGTGCAGGAAGAGAGAGGAATGGTGACAAACGGAGCAGTCTCTGTCCCACGTGTCAGCTTTGGGGTTTTGTCTCCCTTTTTATCATAAAGAGATGTTTTTGTGTGTTTCTTTCTCATGGCTAATTTGAGATTCTGGTTATTTAAGGAGCCCAGAGATGGAAGCCAGATGACTCAACTCCGGATTGGGGAGGGATTTCCTTAAAAGACCTCTCAGTTTGTGGGAGCACAGACCAACATGACCGTGTACCATACATGCTCATCACGCCTGGCTACCCTGATGTTCTCAGACTCCCAGCCGCTCTGCAGAAAGTGGAGGCTAAACAAAATCATCTTCCCTCCCACCGTGGCTCTTGTTCAATAAAACCAACAGAAGCCACAGGCTGACAGCATCTGGTTAAGGGAGGGAGGGACCTGAACGGCTGCGGCGTGGTGACCGCTGCACCCGTAACACGGGTTGCTGGCTGCGCCTGCGGAGCGTGGCAGTGTCTGGCCCCGTCCTTGCGCTTGTAACCTGAAGTCAGGCCTCTATGCTCTGGGACTCTTCTTTTTTTTTTTTTTTTATCATTATACTTTAAGTTCTAGGGTACATGTGCACAACGTGCAGGTTAGTTACATATGTATACATGTGCCATGCTGGTGCGCTGCACCCATTAACTCGTCATTTAGCACTAGGTATATCTCCTAATGCTATCCCTCCTCCCTCCCCCCACCCCACAACAGTCCCCGGTGTGTGATGTTCCCCTTCCTGTGTCCATGTGTTCTCATTGTTCAATTCCCACCTATGAGTGAGAACATGCGGTGCTCTGGGACTCTTCTTAAGATGAGCTCTTCAACTCTGCGGCAGCTGCCTTTTCTGGCGCTGCGGGCCCCGCCACACTGGCCGGTCCCTCCACATCACGCCTCCTCCTGGATCTTTGAGAGGCTCCGGACGCCCATGACAGTCACCTGCTGTGGTTGGGAGGGGCATTCTCAGGAGCAGTCCTGAGAGTTCCTGAGAGTTCCGGGTGGGCCTGAAGGCGCGGGGGCTCAGAGCTGCGCTTTCCTTGCCGGCGTGGTCCTTCCGTGCACTCCCCGGCGCCAGCTGACTGCGTGGGTGTGGAAGGGAGGCCTGTGGTGGCCTTTGGAGGCTGGTGCTTCCCTGCCGGACTACCTAGCAAGTCTGTTCTTGGAATTGTCCATCCCGAAGCCTCCTGCGTGGACTGCACCCTCAGCAGAACCCGCAGGCTGCGGCGTGGCGCCCGGGCTCACAGTGCCCCGCTGTGTGCTCCAGCTCTCCCCTGGCCACATTACATGAAGTGGGAAGGTGGGCTCCAGTTCTCCCCTGGCCACATTACATGAAGTCTCAGACCCTCCCGCAGGGCCACCCTGAGCTCCGACACGCCAGGGCCGAGTTCCACGCTGCTGCCAAGCACTCAGCCTGCGGGCGCTGTGTCAGCCGGTGTGTCGAGGAGGCTCACACGGCTTCATTTCTGAGAGTGTGTTATGTTCTACTCATAAAAGGCAACGCAGTGGGGGCAAAATCCTGGGGCCATGGCTGTTTCCCTCCCAGCGGGAGTGGGGCCCTGTGTTCCAGAAGGTCGTTTTCTTAGGAGCTCAAGGTCGGCCTATGAATGGACTTCCTAGGCTTCCCCTCCCTGCTCCGCCGCCTTTGACACTCCAGATGGTCGGCTGGGGCAGCTCAGGGCGCCCCGTCCGTCTCCTGTGGCTCGGGCAGAGCTGTCCCTCGTTGTCTGATGCTGGTATCTTGACACCTCTTGTTTCATGTGGTTTTTCTCTTTTGATTTGTTTGGTTTTTCAAGCAGAAGGTAAACATGGTTCCTGTTACTCCACCTTGGCTGGAAGCAAGTCTCCTGTTCAGATTGTCTTAGTTCCTTATTCTCTACTGTGAACAATCTCCTCAGACCCAGAGAGTTCCAAA
The DNA here is from genome assembly GCF_000001405.40 of Homo sapiens. Taxonomy (NCBI): domain Eukaryota; kingdom Metazoa; phylum Chordata; class Mammalia; order Primates; family Hominidae; genus Homo; species Homo sapiens. Next base: position 45,054,465 of record NC_000021.9, on the reverse strand, counting down.
AACCGAGGATACAGGCTCTCCTTGGCCTCCCCATGTCCCCATGGATACTAGGGTAATGTCCTTCTCTGCCTTAGAGCAGAGCATGGCCTGACGGGCTCAGTATAGGACCTGACATCTCCTGGACTGAGGCTGGCTTCCAGCTTAGATGACCGCCCACTAAATGGCCCCTGGGGCAGCCCGTCGCAAATTCTCATCCAAATAGCTCTGAAGACAGAGGGAAAAAAGGTGAAAATTCATTCCAACAGGAGGAGATCTGGCTGGCAACGTCTGGGGGCAAGTGTAGCACAAAGGAGTGCTAGTTGACTAAGTGGGTGAATGTGCTGAGTCCGAAGGGTGAGCTCTCTCCAGCATGATTTCCACCTCCTAGGTGTGGCATTCAGTACTGTTTACAAGCTGGGCAGAAACAAGCCCTGCAAGGCCCTGCCCCAACCCCTGCTCCCACCCAGCTCCCTGACCCCTGTTCCCACCCAGCTCTCTAGTGGCTGCTGCTCTCCGCGCTCCCATGCACTGCCCAGTGTACCTGCCCAGCCCATCACCCTCTCCTCCCTGTACCCAGCCCAGGCCACCTTATTTTCTTGGGGCCGTCTGCCTCTCTGACTTGAGCCACAGAGCTGCCATCCTAGGAGTCTGTGGTAAGGAGACCAGGCATGTGCCACCAGGTGGAAATGTCACAGCCTGACCCAGAGGCTGGCCCCAGAGTTTCACTTGGTGTCCGTCAGCTGCAGGCTGATCCCCTGGAGCCTCTTTCACTGACCACATGGCTCCGACCTGGCCAGGGCAGACTGTGGAAGGGAGGCCAGAGCGCTAAGCATCTGAAAATTCAGCCTGGGGAGGACCCTGTCTGTGTGGTCACCAGCCCAACCTCATGCCCCTTCTCAGCACCTCCCTCAGGCCCCAGGGTGCCCGCTGGCCAGTTTTCAGTGCAGAAACTCCTTAGAGAGTGGGGGGCATTTCTTAGGAAATGCCTACTCCAAACATTTGGATTGTGGGCTTATCTGTTTAGAAATTCTGAATAGGTTATAGTTGGCTCAAACATCAAAAAGTATAAAGAAACATACAGTGTCCAGTGTCCCTCCCCCAAGCTCCTCCTGCCTGGTTACTTTCTCATGTAAACCTATGTGCAAAACTGCAGCTGTGAGCAATCTTCTGTTTTTGGAAAGTGGTAGCAAGTTGATACCCACTGATCCTCACCTTGAATTTTTCAGCGCACAGCGTGTTCACGCAGATAGAACCAGCAAAACGTGATGCTAGACTGGCGTGGGGGCATGGGAGAAAGGCCCAGAGATGGTCCAAGGACCCGCCTGTGTGATGGCCAGCAGGTCTGTCCTGTCCTCTGATGAGCTTGGGAGGGAGAGCGGATGTCTGTTTCTGACTACGTTGGGGGTGCCTGTTAGCCAGCGAGGTGGAGGAGTCCTGTAGGTGGCTCGGTGTTGTGATGGTTACTTTCATGTATCACCTGGACAGGGCCAGAGGGTGCCTAGATATTTGGTCAAACATCACTTTGGGTATTTCCGTGAGGGTGTTTTTGGAAGAGATTAGCATTCAAATTGGCAGACTGAGGAAAGCAAGATGACCCTCCCCGTTGTGGTGGGCCACATCCAGTTGAGGACCTGAATTCAATTGAGGGTCCCCTGAGGACCCTGATGAAAGCAGAACTCATTCCTGCCAGCTCTGTGTGAGTGGAGCTCATGTTTATTTTTAAGAGACAGGGTCTCGCTCTGTCACCGAGGCTGGAGTGCAATGGTGCCATCATGGTTCACTGCAGCCTCCAACTTCTGGGCTCAAGCGATCCTCCCACCTCAGCCTCCTGACCAGCTAGGACTACAGACATATGCTACCACGCCCAGCTATTTTTTTTTTTTTAGAGATGGGATCTCACTATGTTGCCCAGGCTGGTCTCAAACTCCCAGGCTCAAGTGATCCTCCCGCCTCAGCCTCCCAAAGTGCTGGGATTACAGACGTGAGCCACTGTGCCCGGTGCAACCTAATGGCTTTTAAAGATGCCTGTGCTTACCTCAGCCAAGGGCCACGGTTGCACTGGAGTTCCTGGACACAGCCCTATCTGGTTACATGGCGGCTGCTTCAGGCTCCGGTCTGTTCCTGTGCTGGCTGCAGGGCCAAGCTGGCGTCTGAAGGACATTTCTTCATCGAATGGGCAGTCTCTGGAGGGTCCAATTTTCCTTCTAGGTTTTCCTTTCTTAGGACACTGTCCTTGCCAACCATTTCCTGCCACGGCTGGTGGTGGCCAAGTCCTCAGGGCCTCTCTGAATGCCCGGCTCCTGTTCCACTCACAATCCCCGGTGCAGGCCTCGCCTGGGAGCAGCGGCTTCTCAGAACATAAACCCCAGGGACGCTCTCAGGTGCCAGCTGTGTCTAGTGTGGCCTGTTTGGACCCCATGACTTGGAAAATTTTAAGAAGCACTTATAAACTATTAACCTGTGATTGTAGGTAATGAAACAACCAGAGGGCTTTATAAAATTAAGATCAAATTCTACCACAGAAGCATTTGAATTGGGCTCACTGCATGCCAGGCGCTGCTGTAAGCACTCTACCTGCATGTTCTCATTTGATCCTCAGCAACCCCAGGAGGCTGGCACGGTCACAGCTGCACTCATGGGCGAGCAGGTCTGTGAGCCAAGAGGTGGTGCCCCTCCCATGGCCACGCAGCGGTCGGGGGCCACACTGGTGGTTCCAGCCTGTCCCTGCTGCACCAGCAGGCACACTCGAGCCACAGGCCCACTGCCCCTCACATGCAGAGGGTAGCTGGTCTCCCCCAAGTCGGCTTGGCTTCTGACGATCGCTCTCGTGCTCCCTCCGGCCCTACCGTGGGGGCTTCATCTCACACAATGTCCAGAGTAAGGACCCAATGTTTACAGAGATGCGTGTGGAAAGCATGTCACAGTCAGAGTCCCAGGTACCCTCACGTCATTCCTGAGGGTACAGGAAGGAATCAGAACAAGAAGAAAAACCAACAGAAACAAAACAGTAACAACAAGCAAGCTACAAACCAAAGGCATATGCAGCGCACAAAGGGTTAACACCTTGACTGGTTCAAGAGCCAGAGATTAACATCACAAATAAAACTGCAAATTTAAAAAGATAACAAGATGCCATGTTTCATTATTGGATTAGCAAATACTAAAAAGAAAGCTATGCCCGGGGTGGGGGACGCTGGAGGACGTGGGGCCGGTCACTCACTCCCGCAGGATGCCCTGACGATGCCTGTCAGAAATCTTAAAAATGTGTGCAATGTCTTAAAATTTATCCTGTGGAGATAATAAGGGATACGCCCCCAGATAGATTCACAGCCTTTTTATAATAGCTGAGATCTGGACAACCTAAATGGCCAACACTACAGTATTACTCAATGACGTGTTTATTCAAACCATGGCATTCTACGCAGTATTAAAATGATCCAGCTCTTCACTTCCTGACCTTAAGAACTGCTAATGATATAATTGTTACATGAAAAAAACGTGCACAGTGCCTCGCGTGTCACGGGGTCAGATGTGCACAGCACAACGTGCGTGCGTAGTTTGGTCTGTCCACGTAGGTACAGGCATGAGTCATCACCTGTGTGATGTTTCTACGAGGGGCTTTTTCTTCTTTTTGCTTATTTTTCTTGTTTATATTTTTCTACAATGAATATGAGTAACCTATAGCAAAGTGTAAAACAGTGTGAGCAGTCTGTGTGCCATTTCCTCGACCTCTGCCCACTGGGAGCTGGGTCTGCAGCCTGGCTCCCGCCCCGTCCCCTGCCGAGCTCTGCTGAAGAGCAAAGCAGAATGTCCCTGAGGAGGGGGCCTCGCCAGCTCCTGCACTGGAGGAGCCTCTGAGTACATCGAACTGGAGTCTGAGCTGGTCACACAAGCCCCCGCTGAGCACCTGCCATGGGCTGGGACATCCTGGGGACGGAATGTTCTGGAACCACAGCAGTAGGTCAGATGGGAACTCTGGCACAGACGCCCCCTTTCCAGATTCTTGTCCAGATCCCAAGATGGATACAAAACATGGCAAGTATGAGCTGAGGCTTAGCAAAGCCACATAAATCCATCGCTGCTGCGAAAACAACTCGAATGACATGGTGTTGGGAACAAAAACCATACAAGAATTCCGCGTCTGGGAAGGGCCTTTCTAAAGTAGTTCTGGTTACAAAACAGAAGTGAGTATCATGAGGTGAACAGAAAAGGCAGAAATGTTAGTGAAATTTCAGGATACAGGAATGAAAGGAAGTCCTGTAACTTACTGAGTGGTTTAGGGAGGCCACCGTTATGACAGATAGATACGAACATGTGTCACGGCCCAAGTGTAAGAGAAGTGTGTTCATTTTTGGTGAGAGCAGGACAAGCAGGGCCTGGGTGGTGAAGCGGAGCTTGGGACATGGGAGGTTTGGGTGGGGGGAGTCTCTCCCCATGTGGCACCAAGGGGCCCAGGCTGAGGGAGCCTTCGCCATCTTCCTTCACAGGTGAATTTGAGGTCACCGGGGCTGCTCCCTGGCCCAGGCGGGGAGAGGCTGTGAGCCTCTCTGGAAGCAGGGGGAGCATTCCTCCTGCTCACGGTCCACTGGCTGGAGCCCAGCCAGGGCCCACCCAGCTGCAGCAGAGCCTGGATGGATCAAGGCGTGCCCAGGAACAAGAGAAGGGACACGTGTCGAAAGCAGAGAGCAGCATCGACCTGTGTTCATAGTTAACAGTTGACTATTTTGACACTTGAGAATGTTTCCTAGAATAAAAATGAGTAAGAAAAGGTTGAATTTGGCAAAGACATAAGGCATACATTCACGAGAGGTGCTCTCCTATGGACACAGCAGGTCACTTTAACTGCCTTAGAAATCTGGAAACAAGGAAATTCTGAGACCCACAAATCTGGCATTTATCAACCATCTTTTCTTTCAATGACAAATGTAGGTAGTATAATTATTTTATGAGCATACAGAGAAACATAACTTTAGACTCACAAATGACTGAAAAGTATTGATCTACGTGGTTCTTTTCAACCAAAATTAATGTAAATAATGTAAAAAAAAAAAGTTGAATTAAAGATTTATTTTCCAAAGAGATCTTTTGTAGCCGACATGGTGTATCTTTGAATGGCTTTTAATTTTTTTAAACAAAATTTCCTCTTTTTCTTCCAATGTGTTTTTTCTATTTTTTAAATGTTTTGATCCTCGTACAACTTGCTCTGACCATGCTTATTTTTCTAAGTTCTTGTGAAATCAAATGCTGTGTTTTCATTTTGTGCCCAAACAATGCGAACATTACCTTGACCAAGAAGTCTGCAGACTAATGTTCACCAGATGGGCTGGTGTCTGGCATTCTCTGCAGAACGTGTCCAAATCCTGCCCAGTTGGTCATGATACTTCCTAGAAACGGACTGGATGGGGGCGAGGTAGGGGAACCATCTGCCTCATGGTCCTTAACATCTAGAACTGGAGAGGATTCGAAGGAAGAAGAAAGCATCCCCCTCATCTGAGTTGCTTTGAAGGACATTAGATGCGAAATCCTAATCAGAAGGTGGTAAATTTAGCTTGCAAGCATGATAATTACTTTATTAGTTGATAATACTTTTCACCCAATATATGTTTAGTATGGAAAACCCCAAATAAGTTTTTAAACTGCGGCTATTGAATATGGAAATTCCCTTGCAAATGACTTCTCAGCAAATGAATATATGGTCTAGAGATGGGATATTTTAGGGGGTTACTTTCTTTAGATAGTGGAGTGCCTGGAGACCACAACCAGATCTGAGAACATCGCATCTTGGTTTTCGTGTAGCAGACAGCCAGTTTCTCAGACTTAGGACTTAAAAAATGTTGAAATGTATTCCACAGAAAAATCTTAAGTTGACCACTCAACCTCACATTGGCCTAAGAAACATTTTTAACGAAGACATAAAAGCAACTCTAAAATTCTATTTTACTGAGCTCTTCTGATAATATGATTATGCAATCACTAAATGGAAGTGGCTTTTTGCTATGGTTTCTGGCTACCCTGTCTTACCACTGTAGCTTTTGGATACAAAATTAAAAAGACCAGCCTGGAAGGGATGATGTCTATACTGGCAATATTTCTTACTGTCATCACGTTTTGTGTAAAACAAATACCTACTATTTTGAGAACAACTTTGGATATGTTTATTTTGGTTACAAAATTTAAACGATCGTTTTCTGAGTTTGATGCTGTTTTATTCTCCTATTTACTGAGCCCCATCGTGAGCGGAGCTGGGGGAGTGATATGGGAACCCAGCCTCCGCCGCTCCTCAGTCACCCTCACCCTTCTTAGTTCTTACCTGTCACTGTGAAGTTAACTTGCTTCACCAATTTTAAATAATATCTCTTAGCCCTGGCTGTAAAGATGAGGAAGTCAGCACCCTTTTCCTCCCCACCTACTTTCTTTCCTTTTGAGATGGAGTTTTGCCCTCGTTCCCCAGGCTGGAGCGCAGTAGCACGGTCTCAGCTCACTGCAACCTCTGCCTCCTGGGTTCAAGCGATTCTCCTGCCTCAGCCTCCTGAGTAGCTGGGATTACAGGTGCCCACCACCACGCCCAGCTAATTTTTGTACTTTTTAATAGAGCTGTGGTTTCGCCACGTTGGCCAGGCTGGTCTTGAACTCCTGACCTCAGGTAATCTGCTCGCCTCAGCCTCCCAAAGTGCTGGGATTACAGGCGTGAGCCACCGCACCCAGCTTCTCCCCACCTACTTTCTGCCTTTCACTCCAAACCGTGGTTAGCTTTATGATTTCTCTATGCTCAGAAATTTATCACTTTACATTCTTATAAATTCTTCCAGACACATTTATTCTAGCCTTAGTCCTATAGTTAGATTCAAAACTTACTGCTAGTGCTTCCAATAATGTTTTAAAATTCATTTCTTAGTTGGCTACAGTTTATCCTCTATCCCATAGGAATAATGTCACTGAGTTTTGCATGTCTGAAATGTTTGTCAGTTGCCTTCCATGTCTGTGACAGTTTAGCTGGTTATAATACTGGTGTTCACACTGTCTTTCACTAAGGATCTCCTAGGATGCTCCACGACCCTCTAGTACCATTGTCATTGTAAAGAAATCTGAGCCAGACTGGCTTTTCTCTTTACAACTGACATGATATTCAGTCATGCACATATTTAATCTCTTTTGATGGTCTTCCCTTTTGAGCATTTTCTCTTCAATTGCTTTTATAAAGAAAGGTCTTTGTTATGAAAGATATCAAAATATACGAGTACACAGAAATACACATGACACTTGCATGTATCCACCGCCCAGCCACCATGCTTAGTCACATTCCTCCACTCTTGCATTTTTTTGTTTGTTTGTTTTTGAGATAGAGTCTCCTGTATCACCCAGGCTGGAGTGCAGTGGCAGGATCTTGGCTCACCACAACCTCTGCCTCCCGGATTCAAGTAATTCTCCTGCCTCAGCCTCCCGAGTAGCTGGGATTACAGGCACACGTCACCACACCTGGCTAATTTTTGTGTTTTTAGTAGAGAAAGGGTTCCACCATGTTGGCCAGGCTGTTCTTGAACTCCTGACCTCAGGCAGCCTGCCGCCTCAGCCCCCCAACATGCTGGGATTACAAGTGTGAGCCACCATGCCCAGGCACTGTTGCATAATCTATGCCTTTACTTACTCCTCACCCCTCACTCAATTATTACTTTGTCTTTTATGCAGATTTATATACATTGACATGCACAAATCTTAGCTGTACAATTTTGAAAATAGATTTTTTAGAGCAGTTTTGGTTTTGCAGCAAAATTGAGCAGAAGGTACAGAGTTCCCATGCACTCCCTGACCCCACACATGTAGCCTTCCCCACTACCAACACCCCCTGCAGAGGGGGACGTTTGTTGCAACTGATGAGCCTATGTTGACATGTCACTATCACCCAGAGGGCACAGTTTACATTAAGGTTCACTCTTGGTGTTGTATATTTCATACATTTTGACAGATGTGCAGTGGCATGGACCCACAATTATAGTATCACACAGAAGAGTTTCACAGCCCTAAAGACCCTCTATGCTCTTCCTGTTCATCCCTCCCTCCCCTCAGCCCCTGGAAACCACTGATCTTTCTATTGTTTCCATCATTTTGCCTTTTCCAGAATATCATATAGTTGGAATCACATGGTATGAAGCCTTTTCTGATTGGCTTCTTTTACTTAGTAATATGCATTTCAGGTTTTTCTGTGTCTTTTCATGGTGCTAGGGACTGAAAGTTTGTGTGCTCCCAAAATTCATATGTTGAAATCCTAACCCCTGAGGTGGTAGTATTAGGAGGTGGGGTCTTTGGAGAGGTGATGAGATCATGAGGACTACGCCCTCATGCATGAAAGCAGTGCGCTTACAAAAGCCAGCCCAGAGAGCTGCCTTGCTTCTCCCACTATGTCAGGACACAGCAAGAAGGTCCTGTCTACCAACCAAGAGTTGGGCCCTGGACAGACACCAAATCTTCCAGGACCTTGGTCTTGGACTTCCCAACCTCTGGAACTGTGAGAAGTAGAGTTTGGTTGTTTATAAGCTATCCGGTTTATTTTGTTTTGTTATAGCAGCCTGAACAGAATAAGACACATGGCTTGAGAGCTCATTTCTTTTTAGTGCTGAATAATGTTCCATAGTCTGGATGTGCCCCAGTTTACCCAGTCACCCACTGAAGAATATCTTGCTTGCTTCCAAGTTTTGGCAACTATAAATAAAGCTGCTATAAATGTTAGTGTCGACATACGTGTTCAGCTCATCTGGGTAAATGCCAAGGAGTGTGATTGCTGGATCCTATGGTAAGAGAGTGTTTAGTTTCATAAGAAGCTGCCAAACGGTCTTGCAAAGTGGCTGCACCATTTCCAGCAGCAATGATGAGCGTTCCTGTTGCTCCACACCCTGGCCAGCATTTGGTGGTGTTGGTGGCCGTGTTTTGGCCATTCTAATAGGTGTGTAGTGGTATCTATTGTTGTTTAATTTGCATTTCCCTAATGATGTATAATGGTGAGCATCTCTTCATGGCTTATTTGCCATCTGTGTGTCTTCTTTGATGAGGCATCTTTCAGGTCTTTTGCCTGTTTCTGTAATTGGGCTGTTCCTTTTCTTACTGCAGGGCTCAGAGAGTTCTTTGTGTATTTTGGATAACGGTCCTTTAACAGATATCTCTTTTGCAGTTATTTGGTCCCAGTCTGTGGCTTGTCTTCTCATTCTCTGGACAGTGTCTTCAGAGAGCAAAAGTTTTTAACTTTAATATTCTGCTGATCTATGATTTCTTTCATGGGTCAGCCTTTGGTGTTGTATTTTTACAAATCACCACCAAATCCTGGGTGATCTTGATTTTTTTCCTGTGTTACCTTATAGGAGTTTTACAGTTTTCATTTTACATGTAGGTCTGTGATCCATTTTGGGTTAATTTTTGTGAAGGTGCAGGGTGTGTGTCTGCACTCGCTTTTCTGCCTGTGGATGTCCAGGTGTTCCAGCACCCTCTGTCTTTGCCCCATTTTTTTGCCTTTGCTCCTTTGGCAAACATCGATTGGCTACATATATGCAAGTCTATTTCTGGGCTCTCTATTCTGTCCATTCACCCGTTTGTCTCTTCTTCCCCCCAGTACCACACTGTCTTGATTACTGTAGCTTTATAGTCAGCCTTGAAGCCGGGGAGTGTCAGTCTTCAAGTTCATTCTTCTCAATCAGCTGTACCATTTTGACAAATGGACACATGCTATAACTCACAAACCCTTTCATGACATGGGACATTATTATCTCCCTAGAAAGGTCCCTCACGTCACTCCCCAGTCAATCCTATGCCCAGAAGAAACCACTGTTCTGAATATTTCACCTTAGATGAACGTTTCCTGTTTGAAACATCATATAAATGGAATCACCCCGAATGCACTCTTGGGTGCTCGGCGTGTCTGCAAGCAGCGTCCACACCATTGCTTGTATCAGCGGTCAGGGTCACTCCAGGTTTCACTGCACGCACACTTCACCCCATGGTCTACGCAGAGCCAATATCGTGCCACTTTTGGAAAACGTGAGACCTTGGCCTGCCTATAAGCCAATTCACCCCTCTGCCTACTGCACTGTGTGTACTGTATCGACACGTGTAAACAGCACTTCAGTGCAATGTTATCATTTTTATTTTCAAAAGGCTTGGGACGAGGAGGAAAATTGTCTGTTATGCTAACCTCCCCCACCTCTTGGTGTTCTCACTGCTCTTCCATCCTCCCAGAAGGCCCATCTCCTGCTCGGCGTCTTCTCCCTTCAGCCTGCAGTTTCCCTAGCATTTTACGTCATGAAGCTCTACTGTGAACAAATTCTGTCCATTTTCTTTGATCTGAAAATAGCTTTATTTCTGGAAGGATAGGCATAGAATTATGGGATGGCAGGTTGTTTTTATTCTTGTAGTCTCTTCAAGATGTTTTGCACCATCTCCGGGCCTCCGTTCCTTGTAGCTGGTTATTAGAGTGGTGGCCCAGGGCACCCCGTTCTTCGGGCGGCCGTCCTGGTTTCTGCTTGTCTTTTGGTTTTCTGACCATTGACGGATGTGCTTGGGTGTAGGGGGTTGGGTATTGATGCCGCCTGGGGGCCGCTGGACTTTGCTGAAGTCCATGTTGTCCCTGCTCTTGGAAACCTGCCTCCCAGACTCCTGGCCAGTCCAAAGTGTTCTGTTGGAGGAAACACAAAGGTGCCCAGGTCCTGGACAGAAAGCGCAGCTGAGAAGCCATGCAGCTGGGCCCCCAGGTCTCGGAGGGAGAAGGGACGTCCTGCCCGCCCCGTTCCCCCAGGTCTCGAAGGGAGAAGGGACGTCCTGCCCGCCCCGTTCCCCCAGGTCTCGAAGGGAGAAGGGACGTCCTGCCCGCCCTGTTCCCCCAGGTCTCAGAGGGAGAGAGGACATCCTGCCCGCCCCGCTCACATCGGGCCCTGGAGGAAGGGGGTGTCTTCATGCCTCTTCATCCACAGGTATTTTTCAGTCGGGAATGGAAACTTTCTTTTCTTTTTTAAAATTAGGGTATTAGAATCACATAAATAAAAATATAGCCTCGTTTATGGATTTCTTAAAACTAAATTTTCTACTTTGAAAAATTTCAAGCTCACAGGAAAGTTGAGCAAATAGTACAATGAACAGCTGTGTGCCCTGCACCCAGATTCACCCATTTTAAACACCTTTGTATATTTTGCTCTCTGTCTATAAACACACACACACATGCGCTTTAGGTTTTTTTGCCGAGCCACTTAAAGTAAGGTGCAGACATCAGGACACTCCCTCTCACACTCTCAACATGCATCCCCCAAGAAAGCGATGTCCCACAGCACAGCCACAGCCGCCAGCCCAGGCCTGATGCTTCACACCCACCCAGTGCAGCCCCATCGGCATGCCCCGCCCTGCAGTGCCCAGCATTGCGGCCGTGTTTGTGTGACTCGTGCATGCCGTGATGTGTTACCTGTGTGCGCTGTGGGGTTTGTGCAAGAGCCTCAGACCTGCGTTTGTGGCCACCTGGAGCGGGGCCTTCCCCTCCTCCAGGCTGCCCTTGGGCAGCCTCGGGGAGCACCCACAGGTTGTCCCCACTCTGTAGCCCTGGGGGGTGGGATGGGGAGGGCCGGCAGATACCTGGAGCCAAGCAAGCCCACCCGTTTGTCTCCACACCCAGAGGGACTGTGCTGGGACTCCCAAGGCCAGGACCCTGCGCTGAGGGCAATGCGGAAGCAGGCAGAACTCACATGGCTTCTCCTACACCGCCTTCTCACACTCCAACCTTCAGCCAGGCTGTAGCCACCACACACACACCACACACACACAACACACACTACAGACACACCACACACACACCACACACACACCACACACACACAACACACACTACAGACACACCACACACACACCACACACACACTACACACACATTACACACAGTACACACACACATCTCACACACACACCACACACACACCACACACACAACACACACTACACACCCCCCCACACACTACACACACATTACACACTACATACACACATCACACACACACCACACACATACACCACACACATTACACACACATCACACACACACACCACACACATACACCACACACACACAACACACACTACACACACACCCCACACACACTACACACACATTACACACACTACATACACACATCACGCATACACACCACACACACATATAAACCACACACATCACACACATACACACATATATAAACTACACACATCATACACACACATATAAACCACACACCCCACACATACGTAAATCACACACGTATAAACCACACACATTACACACATACACACATATATAAATCACACACATATAAACCACACACGTTACACACACACCATACGTCCCCACAGCACACACACACACCACGTACACACCCATATGACAAACGCACACACACACCCACAGACACATGCACACCACACATACATACAACATGCCACATAAACACACACAAGCACACCACACACTACACATATGCACACACACACAGAGATACTGTACTCCCGCCTTCTGACCCACTAGGGCCTGGTGAGGGCTTAGGTGAGTGTGACAGTCCCCTCAGGTACAAAAGGCATGGAAAAATTCAGGAATCAAGATAAGTCATATTTTAACGCAAGATTTTGCAGAATCTAAGTGAATGCAAAACGTCCACATCGAACAAAACATCAGAATGGTGGGGCAAAGGCAGGATCAGCCCTCTAGGCCTCCTCCAGCCTCAGGCCCCTCCGCACAGGCACCGCAGGGCTCCTCCACCCCCGGAGGATCTGGTGTCCTCGTGGGAGTCCCTTGGGGCTGGGGCAGGGGCTGGCCAGGCACGGTCAGGTCTCGGCAGGGCAGGGAGCCTGGGCTGCACCGGCTCCCGTCTTCTTCTGTCTTCTGAGTGTTTGGGAAGGGAGTGTCATTCCCTCTGTGCCCCCACCGCGTCCGTCCTGGGTTGTGTAACCCTCCAGAAAGGGCACGGCACACACACCACAAAACTTTCCACACAGGGAGCTCCGGACACTGGGGAGCTTCCACACCCGCCACAGCCAAGTGATTTCCCAATCACGAATAATTCTGTCATTTTTTTCTTCTTCTTCCCAGAAACCCTGGGGGGTTGGTGGGGGGGCGGGCACTCAGAGAAGACCAGAAAATGAAACTTTTCAACATTTGTGTCTCTGCTGTTTTTGATTTCTCTGAGAACAAAATAACAAAGCCCTTGGAGAAGCCTCGAAAGTGGCAGGCATGGAGATCACTGCTGTATGTAAATGTAAAAATGAATGAAAGTAACTCAGTGAAACTGCAAAATGTGAATTTAGACAGAAAACCTCAGGCTGCAAATGAACATGTGTAGGGCCTTAAAGTAACAGGAGCTGCCCTGGGGGCTGTTTCCACCTTCATCACCACGCAGACATCCAGGAGGAGAGAGACCCCCGTGCTGGCGCGGGACGCCAGCCTCAGATGCACTTTCTAGACGCCCCGTGAAGCAGAAGCAAGGGACTCCTCAGCACCCAGGCCTGGCCACTGGTGCCCAGGTGGCTCAGCCGGCCCTCAGCCTGCCTGTGTGCCCTCACAGCTCAGGCGGTTCCTGGAAGCGCCGGCCTCCCACCCCGAGGTCAGCCCGTGTCCTGCTCTCCACCCCTCCGGCTTCAGCACGTTCACCCTTTTAACATTTAGCCATAAAAACTCTTTTTTTTCTCAAACAAAATCTTACCCCAACATATACATCTGGTAAAGGTGGAGCTGCTGGGGCAGGTCCCCCAAGCCAGCCTCCCCCACCACCTTGAAGGGACCCTGGGGAGCCTATCCCCAGCAGCACATGGGCCTTGGGCTCCTTCTGCGAAGGACAGAGGGCTCCCAGGAGGTGGCAGCCCTGAAGGGTCCTGATGCTGCGGGGTGGAGGGGAGTCATCCCTGGGCCCTGGCCTATCAGGTGCCCTCACAGGCACCAGGTAGGGGCCATGGGTCCAGGACAGGGGGCCAGGGGAACTCCACACAGAAGGGGACAGTGCCCAGGGACAGGCGGGCCTGCAGCCGGAGAGGTCAACAGGTGACCTGCCCGGCAAACAGAGCAGTGAGCTGAAGGGAAGGATGTGCATTGCCTGGAGGGGACTCAGTGCCCTGCTGTCAACCCTGGTGGGCCTCACCCCACAGCAGCAGCAGCAGCATGGCTGGCACTGAAGGGTCCACAGAGGACGGTGGCCCCCCCGCCACCCTCTCTCCTGCCTGTAGCCATAGCCCCATGCCTGTGCCTGACCTTGGCCTAAGGGGGCCCTCAGGGGCACTCCAGGAACTCCCAGCGGGAGCAACCTCCAGATGCCCCCAGGAGCGTCTCTGGGAGCACCCCTCTCAAGAGAACCCCACAGAGTGTCCTCCCATCATCCCCCAAGAGCATCCCCCACTCATGGCCTTCCCTGTGCAGAGCCCAGCATCGCCCAGGGACCCCCCAGGCCCCCAGGACACTGCCCCCAGCACACCCAGGGCTACAGGGCTCCTGCATGAGGTGGACCATCCTGGGGCACAGAAGGTCCCTTCCCAGTCACCAAGGCCCCATGAACCCTTCAGGGGCACAGGCACCCCTGGGGGCTTCCCCCAGCCCCTGATAACAACGGACCCTCTGCCCACCCGCCAGTCCTAGGGCTGCTCCACAGCTTGCCAGGTGCCCCTAGATGGCTGGGGTGCAGGGTGCAATTGTGTTGCTGGGAAGAGGCTGCCTGTGAGGCCCCCACATGGGCCTGGTCTCCCTTTTTTATTTTATCCTTTTTTAAATTAAAAAAATACCTGTGATTTTAAACAGTAGCAATAATTTTAAAATAAGCAGGTATTCATTTTCTTTCCTTTTTTTCCTTTTGGTAAATTGTAAATGCTTTTCCCTCCTCACTTTGGCCTCTCCACTATGAATAATAAAATGTTGGCATTTTTACACCACTCACTCCTCCTTCCCCTCCTCAGTCTCAGGAATTTTTAAATGTTAGCCCTTATTTTCAGTTCCTCTATTAATCAGAAATATATTTCAGATACTGTTCTTTTTTTTCTATTTTTCTTTTTTTGAGACAAGGTCTTGTTCTGTTGCCCAGGCTGGAGTGCAGTGGTGTAATCACAGCTCACTGCAGCCTCAGCCTCCTGATTCAAGCAAGCCTCCTATCTCAGCCTCCCAAAGAGGTGGGATTACAGGCGTGAACCACCGCGCCCCACCCCTACTCTTTTTCTTTTTTTGAGACAGGGTCTCACTCTGTCCCCGAAACTGGAGTGCAGTGGCACAATCTTGGCTCACCACAACCTCTGCCTGCCAGGCTCAAGGTGTTCTCCTGTCTCAGCCTCCCGAGTAGCTGGAATTACAGGCACGTGCCACCACATGCAGCTAATTTTTGTACTTTTAGTAGAGACAGGGGTTTCACCATGTTGGCCAGGGCGGTCTCGAACTCCTGACCTCAGGTGATCCTCCCGCCTCCGCCTCCCAAAGTGCTGGGATTACTGGTGTGAGCCACCACACCCGGCCCCCGACCCTATTCTTAAGTCCCTGTTCTCGAATGCAACTTTATTTCCACTTCATTTAGTTCTACCCCATTTACTTTTTTAAATTACAAAATTACAAACATAAGAGCCAAAATGAGATTTTAAGGAATAAAAGTAATCACAAACACTCAAACTATAAAAATAAAAGTACAGAAAATTGAAAGCAGTCCTCATCCTGTGTCCCATCTGCCTCAGTTCCACTTCCCGGGGTGCCCAGGTCTCTCTCTAAATGAGTGCTTTAGACCTCTATTTCTTTTCTTTTCTTTTATTTATTTATTTATTTTTTTTTGAGACGGACTCTTGTTGTGTCACCCAGGCTGGAGTGCAGTGGCGCGATCTCGGCTCACTGCAAGCTCCGCTTCCTGGGTTCACGCCATTCTCCTGCCTCAGCCTCCCGAGTGGCTGGGACTACAGGCTCCCGCCACCATGCCCGGCTAATTTTTAGTAGAGACGGGGTTTCACCGTACTAGCAAGGATGGTCTGGATCTCCTGACCTCGTGATTCACCCGCCTCAGCCTCCCAAAGTGCTGGGATTACAGGCATGAGCCACCACGCCCAGCCTATTTCTTTTTAAGAAATGAATTTTAAAGTAGATAATACCTTTACACAGGTTCACAAACAAAAAGCTTGGGGGTTTCCCTACCCCCGCCGCCAGCATCTGCATGCTGCAGGCCGTCATAGTTTCAGGATTTTGTCTGTCTTCCCAGGGGAACTGTGTGCACGCGTCTCTTCCCTCTTTTCTTGGGTGCTGGCCCTGGGCATTTGGCGGTTTCCAGCCAGCCTCACAGGCACATCTGGTGGGCTCTGCAGCAAAGACCCTTAGAAGGCCACACTCGAGGTCCAGGGTTCTGTGTTGGGGGATGTCGATGTCTTCCATGGGGCAGATGTGTCCCTGTCATTGTCTTTCTCCCTCTTCCCATTGGTCGCTTTTCCTTCCTGAGTTCCAGGAGCTCTTTCTACATGAGGGGAGCCAGGCTCTTGCCTGTGAGATGAGGTGCCCACCTTAGTTTGTCTCCTGAATACAGTTCCAACAGCTTTTGCAGAAACTGTTTTATTTTTCTGTAGTCAAATTTATTAGCCTCTCAGAGCTTCTGCGTTTCACATCACTGTTTAAAAAGACTTTTTCTGGCCAGGCATGGTGGCTCACGCCTGTAAGCCCAGCACTTTAGGAGTTAGAGGTGGGAGAATCGCTTCAGCCTAGGAGCTCAAGACCAGCCTGGGCAAGATGGTGAGACCCTCCCCCACCGGCCCACCATTTCTAACTTTAAATTTAAAAATTAAAAAAAAAAAAACTAAAAAGACTTTCCCAGCTAAAGTTTTAAAGAACATTCCCATTCTTAGAGAACGCCTTTGAGAAGTTATTTTTAACTATTACCTACATGAATCACTGGAATCCACCCTGCTGTACGACAATGAATAAAGTCAACCAACGGTTTTCTCCAGGTGCCCAGCCCACCACTCATTCCCCCTGGAGCACAGACGGGGCTCCGTGTGGATCTGGGCAGCGTCTGCACCATTTGCTCTGTTGCCCCAACTACTGTCTTCATCCAGCCTCCCGAGCTGCTTCGATAAGGAGGCTTCATAACATGTTTCAGATGCACCTCCTTAAAAAACGATCCTGGCCACTCCTGTGTGTCCATTTCTCCTCTGGCACTTCTTCCCTGACTCAGAGCCATGGCCACTGCATGTGGGTCCTTGTTTGCAGCCTCCCCACTCTTCCCCCTCAATGGCCCCACCCTTGAGAAATACCCCTATGGGACCCTCTCTCTCTGTGTTAGTCTCTCCCTCCTGCCCTTCCTCCCCACCACCTGGAGGCCTGGGCAATTCCCAGTTTCTCGGTTTCTGGATGAGGGAGTCTGTATATGTGTTTCTCCTTCGTACTGCTGGCGGGTGCTTTCCAGGAAGACAAAAGGGCAATGATGACTCGAGCAATCCTGGCCCATCTGCAATTACATCCAAGCCAATTTCCAAATTCCAGCCTGGGAAACAGGGCAAGACCCTATCTCAAAAAAAAATTTTTTTTAACCCAGGAAGTGCATGTTCTGAGTTCTTGCACGTCTGAATCTGTTTCAACTTCACTGTCAGTTTTGATGGACTGTTTAGCTGGGTATAGAATTCTCAGCTCTAAATCATCATTTTTCAGAAGCTTACAGGCTCCTTGCATAGACACCTAACATCAGCAACACCAATGAGAAGCCAAATGCCAGTGTGGTTGCTCATGCCTCTGTAGTAGCTTGTTCTTCTAACATCAGCAACAAGAAGCCAAATGCCAGTGTGATCCTCATGCCTCTGTGGTAGCTTGTTCTTTCTCTTGCTGGGCTTTTAGGATTTTCTCTTTATGTTTGATAGTCTGACATTTTAGCAGGTGTGCCAGGTACGGTGCCCTGTCCTTCATCCTGTTTAGGACACTTTGGGTCTTTCAGACTGACTGCAATTCTTCAACCCTGGGAAATTTTCTCTTATTCTTTTTTTTTTTTAATTTTTATTTATTTATTTATTTTTAAGAGACTGGGTCTGGGTCTGTCACCCAGGCTGGAGTGCAGTGGTGCAATCATAGCTCACTGCAACCTCAAACTCCTGGGCTCAAGCTATCCTCCCACGTTGGACTCCCAAAGTGGTGGGACTACAGACATGAGCCACTGTGCCTAGACTTCTACTAATTATTTTAGTAGTTCCTCACTCAAGTTTTCTATTTTATCATCCTGGAACTTTTATTAGGTGGTGTCTGGAGTGCCTGGATTAAGCCTCTGTACTTCTTAAGTTTTCTTTCATATGCCCATGTATTTGTCTATTTTCTCTGCATTTTAGGAAATTTCTTCCTCTTTATCTTCCAGGGTGCCCATTGAATTCCAGGCTTCCCATTGAATTTGAAAATCACATTTCAAATCTCAGACTCTTTCTTGCTCTCCAGTTGCTCCTTTTCTTTGGAAAACTCCCTTCTTGTGACACAAATCTGGTATCTCCATGGACCTCTTCAAAATTCAGTTAACTATAATTTTTGAAAATTCTTCCAGCTCTAAAGCATTAAGTATCTGGGAGAACCCAGTCCCCATTCCCAACAGTGCCTGAGAGGCAATTTAGAATTGTTTAGTAGAAAAATCATGGTTTAAATTCCAACTCTGCCACTAAATAGCCTCAAACAAATCACCCCCCACCCCCAGATAACAGTTTTATTCCATGAACTTCCGAGGGGGCCACACTCATTTTTAAAAATTCAACTGCACAAGCATGTACCAAGGGCCTCTCATGCACCTGCCTCAGGGCTGGCTGCTGGGACATGAAGACGCTGAACTCGGAGGCCCAGGGCTGAGGACATCAATCAAAGGGGTAGACGTGTCACTGATAGACGACAGGGTTGGGGGAGTGTAGGACCCGCATGCCACAGCTAAGGTGTTTTAAGAATGTGCAAAACGTATCAGGGCTGAAGGGCTCAGGAGGCCTCCCAGGGAAGAGCTGCCTTGGGTACCAAGGTTGCAATGACCGGGGTGTGGCCCAACAACTCCACCGACCTCACAAGTAGTCCCTGCTGGCCACAGGACACAGGTAAATTCTCCTTCCCACAGCAAGGGCAGCAGCTTGGGGAGGCTTTTCCCTCTGAAATCCAGGAAGATGTCCCACGGCCCCTGTCTCCACGCTTCCCTCCCAGCATGGATGCCCACAGATCCTCCTGTAGCCCAGGCTCGCCCTTGAACTTCAGATGCATGCTCAGCACCCAGGGGCTCTTCCATGGAACAGCAAACCCCTCCAGGTCACCTGCCTGTGGAGGGTGGGGCAGGGCTGCTCCCACGATGAGGATCGTGACCGGGAGGGCCCCTGAGGACCCTGTGGTTGAGTTGACCCCTCCATGCTCTCTTTCCCCTTTCCCAAAGCTCTGCTCTTTGGATGTGGTCCTGGGGTTTCCAGGGGAGACATCAAGGCGGAGGAGGCCTGGCCCTGAGGTAAGAGGAGCAGGGCTGCCCGGCAGCCTGGAGCAGCCACTCAGACGTCCACCTCCTCGGAGCCACTGTGTTGCTGTTGGACTGTTAGAGACACCTTGAGCCCCCCGACCCATATGTCAGGGCTGTCTCCTGTGGGCTTGGGGCTCAGCTGATGCCACCCCGGCCTCCTGTGGCTCAGGCCGGAGTCTGGAGCCCTTCCTGACCCCTATCTTTATCTTGCACCACCTCTAATCCCCAATAAGCCCTCCCACCTCCACCTTCTGCACACCCCAGAACGCACGTCCTCCGCACCGCCTGTCCCTGAGCCACCCTGGGCCAGCCAGGCACCCGCCAGGACCCCTGCGGCCCCTCCCCGATGGTCCCTTCCCTGCCTCCCAGCTACTCAGGCCCTGAGAGTGAGAGGATGTGCGACCGTGACTCCCACCCTGGCAGGACAGAGCAGGACAGGACAGAGCAGGACAGGACAGGACAGGACAGGACAGAGCAGGATAGAGCAGGACAGGACAGAGCAGGATAGAGCAGGACAGCTTGCATCTTCCAATGTGGAGCTGTCACCTTCACTTTTAGGCAAGAGTGTTCCAGGATTGGCCCTCTCAAAAACCCAAATAATATCAAGTGTCACATTCCTGAAGCTAAAAATAAACGTGCAACCCAACATTTCCTAAGACACAAGCGTCTTAGCCAAGAACTTTTGCGGCTGCAAATCCCACTGCAAAGCACTGCTCAGACAAGAAAACAGACACTGCTCCCGAACAGGGCTGTGCATGCCAGGCTCTTGGCCACCCCGATCGCTCGTGCTAAACTTTCTTCTTCCCCGCACCGAGCCCCGCACACCCAGGGCAGTGAGTACTCAGAGGCCCATGGCATCAGCAGAACCAGCATGGTGGGCATGACCCCGTGTCCCCGCCATGCCGGCCAAGGTGCCCTCACACCCTGGGAACACCAATGTCCCTCCCAGTGGCCATGGGCCTCGTGGGTGCTGGAGCCTGCAGGTCTCGTGGCAACAGCCCGAAAATGAAACGGCAACTTTGGTTTCTGGTGGTGAACTCGGGAATTTGAGGAGAAGTTGATAAATCTTCCTGGGACTCAAAATGGAAAAATGTAAAGTGATGAATGCAAAAGGCCAGCCAAGAGACCTGGAAGCCAGGGCCAGGGCCAGGTTAGCGGGGCCACTGAGGGCCACGTGGGAGAGGACGGACAGGGAAGGACAGAAGTCAAAAAGAGAAGCAGGGGGCTTGTCTCTAAGTGACAGAGCATCTCAAGGCTCCAGATCAAAAGGGCTTCTGAGAGCAGAAAAGTTGATAATGAGAGAGAGAAAGACGGAGGGAGAGAGACAGAGATTTTTACTTTAAAGGATTTAAAATAAAGAACAAACCCGAGGAGCATGGAACGGGTGCCAGGAGCTTTATCTGCGAAGAGCAAAGCCCAGCTGCTCCGGCAGACAGGGCCGGCGGACTCGAGGGACGCCTGCAGGGATCTGAGGGGCCACCCAGGGCTCCTGCCCCAAACTCAGAATTGGCCGCTGCACAGACGAGAATAAGTCACTGGAGACAAGCTTCGGAAGCCGGGGGTGCGCGGGCCGGCCCCTCTCTGCAAGCGAGGGTCCACGGCCAGGAGAGAGGGAGGGAACCCGCGTCAGCTCTGCCACTGACGTTCCCCTCATCTGCCCCTGACGTTCCCCTGCATTTATTCAACCTTCTGCCCTGGAGAAATTCTAAGTTCCTATAAATTCAGGCCCCACTTGTTTTGCAACCACTGGCCTTGGTGACAAACAGTCCTGAAAGCTGCCCCGGGGGCAGGGCGCGGCGGCGGTGAAGCGTGTTGGGGGGCGGCCCCCCAGGAGGCAGGGTCCATGGGCTGCGGCTAGCCCATCCTGAAGGGCACCCCTGACTCTGAGCAGGGCCGGGAGGTGTGGCTGCCATCACCACAGGGCTCCCAGGGACTGCCCGGCACACTCAGGGGCACGGGGCTCAAAGAGGAATGGGCGTGGGGGGCCTTGGGGAGGGCAAAGTGCCCCAGACAACCCCTGGAGACTGGGCGGGGGTGGGCGGTGGGGGGCCCCCACACACGAGATTGGTGCCCAGAGCCACCCCCAGTCTCAGTGGGGGCCGTGTCTCGGGTCTTGGGCTCAGACATGGGGGAGACACTGGCCGGCTTGAGCCAGGCACCCGCTCTGTTCTCTGCCTGCAACTGGCCCAGAACCCACGGTGGGAAGGAGCTGAGACATGGGGGAGACACTGGCCGGCTTGAGCCAGGCACCCGCTCTGTTCTCTGCCTGCAACTGGCCCAGAACCCACGGTGGGAAGGAGCTGAGACCTGGTGCACCAGGCCCCAGGCTCCCGGACACATGGGGCCCATGTGCTACCCATGTCCATCACCCTGGGCACCAGGCGTCCTCCTGCACTGCCTTGGTTTGCCAGGACTCGGGGTGTGGAGGGACACACAGTGACACGGTGACTGAGGCTGGCGCTCTGCCCAGGAGACGTGGCGGAACCCCCTCGGCCTGGCCCCACGTGTTCCAAAGGTAGGGGTCCACACCAGCCATCGCGCCGGGCCGTGCGCACAGAAGCCATGTCCTCACCCGCCCGGCCCCGCCCCTGCCTGCCCGGCCCGTTTCCCAGCAGTTTTGTGTGCCTCCTTTCGAGCTGGAGCCCGCCTCCCCAAGACCAGCAGCAAGGGAGGCTCCAGGTGTGATTGGACAGCAGCACCTGGCACCTCGATGTCCTCCAGAGCAATTTCTGTGCGAGGTTGCAGCAGCCTTTGTGCCAGGTTGTGGATTTTTTCACAGTCTTTCCGTTCTTGTTATCAGGCATTCGTGTGTGAGAACCCCCTTCGTGGCCACCTCCGGCTCCGTTGCCAGGGTTCTAGCACAAGTGTCTCCATTTTGGTTCTGACAACTTTCACTCGGGGAAAAGCCAGCCCCCGTCTGTCACTGCAGGGGCCTGGGGCAAGGACAGGCAGTGAGGCGACGTTCCCCCAGAGCTGTGTGCACAGTGGCCGGGTTGCTCCAGCTCCTGGCAGGAGGGAGCCCGTCCTTGGAGCATCTCTCTTCTGCTATAAATACGTATTTGAGTTAGAAAATAAAACGCTTCCAACTGGGCGGCTGACCCTTCTGAGCTCAGAGCAGCCGCGTGGGGGTCCAGGCCTCCCCACCCCCCGCAGCCTGGCCGTGGCCTACTTTCCAAGCCAAAACGAAGTTCTGATGGAAAATGATTAACAAAGGAAGGATTTCTGCTTCTCTACTCCGGCTCCTGCTGGGTGGGGATGGTAATTGTGTGCCCTGTAAACTGTGGGGGAGCTCCGGGCAGGGGCCGATGAGCCCCCGCCCTGGCTGGAGCTGAGGGCACGGGTGGGTCACAGGGCTGGAGCCCTGCCTGCTGGGAAGGGCTCAGGTGCTTCTCTCCCTCCCTCTCTCCGTTCCTTCAGGTTCCACAGAGACCCTGGCCCCCAGCCTCTGACCCCGTCCTCTGAGGCTGTTCGGTTTGAGGTGGGAGAAGCCTGGTCTCATGCACCCCAACCTTCAGAGTCTCAGGCACCAGGAGCCCCAGATTCTTGGGTTCTTGCCCCTGGTGCTCAAGCGAGCTCCTTGCATACTTTAGAGAGTACTGAGGAGCCTGTGTGTCGGGGGCCCGGGCCCCAGAGGTTTAGGGGAACTGCTGTTTTCCTGTCTATCAGAAGTCTGGGGTCAGCCCCTCTTTACTCGGTACGCTCAGCCCCCATCTGGCGTCTCAGATATGTCTGCCTTATAGACAATTTCAAATAAGTTGTCCAATTTTAAATAAATGAGAGTGTTCGTGGCTTCCTTTTGCGTCTTTATGGATTTCCTGTGTTTTCCGCCATGAGTGTGGATTGTGTTCCACTGAAGGAGAAGGCGGTTTCCTGGCCCAGCACAGTCGCCTCCCCTGGGACCTCCCTGCAGGCCAGGCTGCCCCGGTGAGGTCTGCAGTTCCCTGGGAATGGCTTTGCACCCTGAGACCCTCGCAGCTGCCCCTGGTCTGCAGCACCCCGCCCTGCCCCCCCGCCCCTGGAACCCAGGACTTCCTTCTCCTCTCTCCAAACCTTCACGAACAGGAGGGGCTTCCAGGACACAAAGGGCTTTCAGGATCAGCGCGCCTATGCTGGGCATGGTGTGGCTGCACCAGCACCCCTGTGAGACGCTCAGAGACACACGGTCCCTCCAGGCCAGAATCCGATTCTGCATTTTCACAGGACTCAGTGACTCACACTTGCTGGAGCAGGAGAAGCAATGCCCTAAAAAGTTTCGGCAATTCACACATCAAAACTCTAGAGAGTTGTTGGAAGTGGGAAATGAACATTTGGGGAGAGGCTGAGATTTCAGCAAGACCTCTTGGGAACTTGCCCTTTGTAATTCTAAAGCGGCTTTGCTGGCTTCTGAATGTAAACTTGAATCGTGTGAGTTCTGATCCACTCATAACATTACCGTGCTTTATGTACTAAATGAAAGTGCAATTTGTTTGTACACTGATTACAGTTTTACCCGCTGAGTTGGCTCTTAGCTCATTTAAGCTGTTTCAAATGGAGCAGCAGCTGCCAAACCTGCAGAAATCCACCACTGATTAGCTATTGCCAATTGATGAGGAAGACAAAGACCCAGGAGGCCCACCTGCCGTGAGGGAGTTCCCCTGTGAGTCCAGGCCGGGGCTCTGTGGCCCCTGGAACCTCGGACTTCAGACGCCGGCCTGGGCTCCCACAGCGTCTGGTTTTCTCCATCAAAACTGCGCCTGGAGGGGTGAGGTGACCAGATGCAGGGGGTGGGGCAGGCGAGGAGGCGCCTGGCTAAACCCAGGTTGGGAGGAGCCTCTGCACAGCAAAGCCGGGGCTTCAGGACCCTTTGCTGGGACAGGTCCGGGAACCATCTGTGATTAGAGGGGCCCGTTTGGGAGTCGGGGGCCGAGGCCAAAAGGACACCCTGAATGCCACCTTTGTCCAGCAACAAGGTCTCATTAGTTCCATCTTCTGAGCTGTCACGCCGGCACCTTCCGCCTTTCCCGCGCCTCATTAGCCCCGAACAAAACCCACTGGTGGTGGGCTCAGCGGAGGCAGGGAGGCCACGGCCAGCTCTGCTCCACTCACTCAAGAGAGGGAGGAGGAGGCCTTGAGGCAGGGTCACGCTCGGTGACAAGGGGCTGCCTGTAGGCTTGTGCTTGAAGGATGAGAACTGCATCCTCCGTCAGGGACCAGACCCAGCCTGGTCTGAACCCAGCAGGCAGCAGGCAGAAGTGCTGTGCTGATTGGCCGTGGACGCTGGCTTAAGTCACTGACAGCGGAAATCAGCGCAGCCCTGGAGCGTAGCTGAGCACAGCTGCAGAAGAGCAGGGAAGCTCCAGGCTGCACCCTGGAGAAGGCCAGCAGCTTTCTCCCTCCAGATCCTGGGCCTGGCCACCCTGTCGCTGGCCAAAGGGGAGCAGCGCTCTCTGGGGCCCATGGTCAGAGTCCCCAGGCATGGCCAGCTCTAGGGGAAAATGGAAGATGGGAGGTCTCAGAGGCCACTGAGCCCCCTGAGGGAGCTCCAGGCTTGTTGAGCTTCTGTTGCGATTCGGAGGCAGCCAGATACAGCCCTGAGTGAAGCCCCGCTTGCCTCCAGCACCCCAGGACTGTCTCCACCCAGCACAGGCCACAGCCCTGCAGAGGACCCAGCTCAATGGACCCCTCTGGAGTGGGCTGAATGGTGACCCCTCAAGATGTCCACACCGTAACCCTGGAACCTGTCAATGTGGCTTATTTGGAAATAGGGTTTTTGCAGAGGTCATTATGTTAAGGATTTTTTTTTTTTTTTTTGAGACGGAGTTTCACTCTTGTTGCCCAGGCTAGAGTGCAGTGGCGCGATCTCAGCTCACTGCAACCTCTGCCTCCCGGGTTCAAGTGATTCTCCTGCCTCAGCCTCCCGAGTAGCTGGGACTACAGGCACACGCCACCATACCTGGCTAATTTTTGTATTTTTAGTAGAGATAGGGCTTTGCCATGTTGGCCAGGCTGGTCTCATACTCCTGACCTCAGGTGATCCGTCTGCCTCAGCCTCCCACAGTGCTGGGATTACAGGCAGGAGCCACCACGCCAGCCTGTTAAGGATCTTGGGATGAGGGTGCCCTAGATCCAATGACAAGTCTTATGAGAGACTAAGAGGCAGGAATGGGGATAGTGTGGCCACAAGCCAAGGAGCCCCAGGCACCTCCAGAAGCCAGAAGAGGCAGGCGGCCCCTCCACAGGACCCTGTGACCCCCAGACAGACGGTCCCTCCGCAGGACCCTGTGACCCCCAGACAGACGGTCCCTCTGCAGGACGCTGTGACCCCCAGACAGACGGTCACTCCTCAGGACGCTGTGACCCCCAGACAGACGGTCCCTCCGCAGGACGCTGTGACCCCCAGACAGACGGTCACTCCGCAGGACGCTGTGACCCCCAGACAGACGGTCCCTCCTCAGGACCCTGTGACCCCCAGACAGACGGTCCCTCCGCAGGACGCTGTGACCCCCAGACAGACGGTCACTCCGCAGGACGCTGTGACCCCCAGACAGACGGTCACTCCGCAGGACGCTGTGACCCCCAGACAGACGGTCCCTCCGCAGGACGCTGTGACCCCCAGACAGACGGTCACTCCGCAGGACGCTGTGACCCCCAGACAGACGGTCCCTCCTCAGGACCCTGTGACCCCCAGACAGACGGTCCCTCCGCAGGACGCTGTGACCCCCAGACAGACGGTCACTCCGCAGGACGCTGTGACCCCCAGACAGACGGTCACTCCTCAGGACCCTGTGACCCCCAGACGGTCCCTCCGCAGGACGCTGTGACCCCCAGACAGACGGTCCCTCCGCAGGACGCTGTGACCCCCAGACAGACGGTCCCTCCGCAGGACCCTGTGACCCCCAGACAGACGGTCCCTCCTCAGGACCCTGTGACCCCCAGACAGACGGTCCCTCCGCAGGACGCTGTGACCCCCAGACAGACGGTCACTCCTCAGGACCCTATGGCCCCCAGGGGCTTCTGGGGCCCAGGGGGAGCAGGGCCTTGCTTGGGGGTTCACATTCTGCACAGAGGGGATGCAACCGGCTGCCTAGGGAGACAGGGTCAGGACCCAGAGCTGAGTGTAGGCTGGGGAGCACCCAGGAGTACAGGGGGCTCTGGCCCACCCAGCTCAACTCTTCCCCTCTCCTCAGGGGGCAAGGACCCTCCACAAAGATGAGGTGAGGTGTTGACACAGTATTAGGGGCACATATCTTAATGGATAGGTATCCCAGGTAAGTTCCTAGAATAGGGATTTTTTTATCTACAAGCAAATCTTAACCCCTGGGCGTTTCAGCAAAGGCCCTGCCTGAGCCCCTCTCCTCATCCACATGCCCTCCTGGGTGTGGGGTACCTGTCGTTGGCGGTGCTCAGGGGATTCCGGTGTACATGCCTGGGGAGGCCCCAGGTCCCGAAAGCCAGGGCCACACTGCCTGGGGATCTTGTGGCCCCTGTGGACTCAGGGCCCATGTGTGCAGGGAGGAGGCACTCTCCCCACGTGCTCCATTGCCAGGGCTGATCCCTCGGCCCGAGACCCTGCTTGGTGGGGAGGCCCCAGCTCAGTACTCCTGCCCCTGTGTCTGTGTGACCCTCTGTCCGTCCTGAGAGTCTCTGCACATCTGGTCTGGTTTGACTTTAACCTGAATGCCCAGCCTCCCTGCTGTGTCCACAGCCCTTTCCAGAAGGACCCGCTCTCTCGGCACCCAGCCCGGAGCACCTCCTCACTGCCTGGTCCCTGCCTTGTGACAGGACGAGTTCACCACCCCTCCCCCAGCTGCAGGACAGACGTTAGATGCAGTGGCTTGGGGGGTCTGCTGGATGAAACCTCACGTTTCCTCCAAGAGCTGCCTATTTATTGTGCAGGCCCCATCCATGGCAAAACATCCTCCAGTCCTCTGGCCACTCCCTCCTTACAAATGAGCTTGAGGAGAAATCTGCAAGGTCACGGCCTCCTGGCTCCACCATCACAGAGACCCTGCCTGGGCTGGACCTGTGGTGGGGTCAGAGGATTCTTCTACCGAAACTCGAAGAAAGCCAAGGCCCGGCGTGGCCGCCAGATGGCCACCCCGTCCCCACTCCCTCTGGAAGACGCTGTCAGCTCTTCCATCTCTCTGAGACTGTCTGAAAGGCGTTCAGTGAAATACAGGTGCCTCCCATGGGCACGTCTCACGCTGTCCTCTCCCCTGCAGGAATGACCATATCCACTCCAGAGGCCCTGATGACCTGTGCGCTGTCACCCAGCCACAGCGCAGGCCAGACTCCAGTGCCATGTCCCCTGCGCAATGTCTGTTTCTTTCTGCAGCAAGTGTAGCCCCAACATCCTCATGGCTTAAATGTAGAGCCAGTGCCTCACTGTGGCCCAGCGGTCCCTGTGCCCAGCAGGGAAAACCTTCCAGGGCGCACGAAGCCCATAACAGGAGCTGTGCGGCCTCAACTCCCCTCAAGACCTAGAGCTTGGCCCTCCCAAAGGCGGCTGCCTGGACCCAGTGGAGCCTGTGCAGCCGGTGT
This sequence comes from Homo sapiens, assembly GCF_000001405.40. Lineage (NCBI taxonomy): Eukaryota > Metazoa > Chordata > Mammalia > Primates > Hominidae > Homo > Homo sapiens. Next base: position 45,026,506 of record NC_000021.9, on the reverse strand, counting down.
CCAGGCTATGACGGCACCTTCGGGACTTTGGGGCTGCACAGTCAGGTTTCTCCTGAGTCCTTGAGCTAAAAATATCCCTGCTGAAATTTATAACAAAATCCAACTGTGCTCTGCACATTTTCTAGAAGCCCTCCCCGCCAATACACAGCTCCGCAAGGCAAAACCGCTGCTCCAGCATCTCTCCCAGTGACGCTGGGGCACAACGTCACTCGGTGTCCTACAACCCGGCCAGTGCTCATGCACCCCTCACGTTGCTCCAGGTGCCATCAACGAACAAGGCTGTCCCCAGCCTCCTGAACTAGCCTCCGAGGGGCTGGAGGCCTGCGCAGGCCATGGATGGTGGCAGACAATGGCGGCCCAGCACAGCTCCCCGCAGGGAGAGAGGACCTCAGGTCTTGGCTTGGCCACCAGTCTGCCCACTGCCTGGGCTTTTCCTTCAGTTCCGTGTGTTTGTCTCCAGGCTGAGCTAATGGTCCCCCGTCCCATCCTCCGTTTGTTAAGGACTTGGGCCATCCAGAAACGATGGATTCTAACTCCAACAATACAATTATACTCTGGCTAGTGGGATGGAAGTAAAAGTGGTCTAGGCCTCACTAGTAATGTCCTAACAGGGAGAAGGAGGTATACCTCCTTTTCATTTACCTCTCTACGGTTGGCTGGAAGACAAGCATGATGGCTGGCACATGGGCGGCCATCCTAGACTAGGAGTTAGCAACCACATATTGAGGACGACTGCACAGCAGGATAAGAGGGTGGAGCCCCTGATCCCAGCCCTGGTGTGTTGACATTCTATCTAGAAATGGACACTCTATCTTTTTAAGCCCCTTTCATTTCTTTTTCTTGTCTTTCCTGTGACCCTTTCCTAGGCCTTGTACAGTGTGGACTAGAATGATGACAGTGGGCACCCTGCCTTGCTCCTGATCTTAAGGGGAATGCTTCTAATGGGGAAAAGAGTCCCTATTTAACAAATGGTGCTGGGAGAACTGGCTAGCCATATGCAGAAAATTGAAACTGGATCCTTTCCTTACACCATATACAAAAATTAACTTGAGATGGATTAAAGACTTACATGTAAAACCCAAAACTATAAAAACCCTAGAAGAAAATCTAGGCGATGCCATTCAGGACATAGGCACAGGCAAAGATTTCATGATGAAAATGCCAAAAGCAATGGCAACAAAAGAAAAAAATTGACAAATGGGATCTAACTAAAGAGCTTCTGCACAACAAAAGACACTATCATCAGAGTGAAAAGACAACTTACAGAAGGGGAGAAAATTTTTGCAATCTATCCATCTGACAAATGTCTAATATCCAGAGTCTAAAAGGAACTTATACAAATTTATGAGAAAAAACAAAACAATCCCATTAAAAAGTGGGCAAAGGACATGAAGAGATGCTTCTCAAAAGAAGACATACATGCGGGGCCAACAAACACACACAAAAAAAGCTCAACATCACTGATCATTAGAGAAATCAAAACCACAACGAGATACCATCTGACACCAGTCAGAATGGCTATTACTAAAAAGTCAAAAAACAACAGATGCTGATGAGGTTGTGGAGAAATAGGAACGCTTTTACACTGTTGGTGGGGTGTAAATTAGTTCAACCATTGTGGAAGACAGTGTGGCGATTCCTTGAAGACCTACAGGCAGAAGCACCAATTGACCCAGCACTATTCACAATAGCAAAGACATGGAATCAACTTGAATGCTCATCCATGATAGACTGGATAAGGAAAACGTCATCCATATACACCATGGAATACTATGCAGCCATAAAAAGGAAAGAGATCATGTCCTTTGCAGGCACATGGATGGAGCTGGAAGCCATTATCCTCAGCAAGCTAATGCAGGAACAGAAAACCAAACACCACATGTTCTCATTTATATGTGGGAGCTGAATGATGAGAACACATGGACACATCGGGGGAACAACACACATGGGGTCCTGTTGGTGGCGGGATGAGGGGAGAGAGAGCATCAGGAAGAATAGCTAACACATGCTGGGCTTAATACCTAGGTGATGGATTGATAGGTGCAGTAAACCACCATGGCACACATTTGCCTATGTAACAAACCTGTACATCCTGCAAATGTACCCAGAACTTAAAATAAAAGTTGAAGAAAAAGAAAGTAATCAAATGAGAATTAAAAAGGGGGAATGCTTCCAAGACTTCACCACTAAGATATGACATATGATTCAGATTTTATTTTATTTATTTATTTATTTGTTGAGACGGAGTCTTGCTCTGTTGCCCAGGCTGGAGTGCAGTGGTACAATCTCGGCTCACTGCAACCTCTGCCTCCCAGGTTCAAGCAATTCTCCTGCCTCAGCCTCCCAAGTAGCTAGGACTACAGGTGTGCGCCACCACGCCTGGCTAATTTTTTTGTATTTTTAGTAGAGACGGGGTTTCTGCATGTTGGCCAGGCTGGTCTCAAACTCCCGACCTCAGGTGATCTGCTCACCTTGGCCTGCCAAAGTGTGGGGATTACAGGCATGAGCCACTGCACCCAGCTGTCTGTTTTATACCGTATAGTCATCTCACCTTCTCTTTTCCTTTTTTCTCTCCTTTCTTGCTTTCTTTGAATAAATCACACTTCCCTCATTCCTTCCCCTGAATGAGTGTGAAAGTTATGTGTCCTGCCCTTCCTGTCTTCTTGGTCATTTCACTGCCTACTGACCCTTCCAGTCTAAAGTCAGTCTCCCCTGCTCCATGCACGCTTGTGTGTTGTATTTTGTTTTATCTTTATTGTCTTAGCCCCATTAGACAGTCCATGTGTTGTTTCATATTGTCTGCTTTATAGGGTTTAGCTGTACATATTTGCCACTTTCTTTTCTATGAACCATGTGCTCTTCACATTGTCCATGTTTTTGTTTCTCTGTGTTGGATTAGAGATTATTTCTTCAGATTAATCTTCCATTTCACTAGCTTTTTCTTTAACTATATCTAACAGCAGTTAAATCTATCCATTGAGGGTTTTTTAAAGTGTTACTATGACTGAATTTTTTTTCAATTTCGTCTATTTTTAATCCACTTAGTTTTCATTTCTTTTATTTTTTATTTATGTATTTTGAGACAGGTTCTCGCTCTGTCACCTGGGCTGGAGTGCATTGGTGTCATCTCAGCTCACTGCCGCCTCAACCTCCTGGGCTCAAGCAATCCTCCCACCTCAGCCTCCTGAGTAGCTGGGACTACAGGTGTGCACCACCGTGCCAGCTAATGTTTGTATCTTTGTAGAGATGGGGTTTCGCCATGTTGGCCAGGCTGGTCTTGAACTCCTGGCCGTAAGTGATTCTCCTACCTCAGTCTCCCAAAGTGCTGGGATTATAGTCGTGAGCCATCATGCCTGACCTATTTAGTTTTCATTTCTAGAAATTCTATTTGGCCTTTTTCAATTTGGCTTTATCATATTTTTATATCACACACTCTATATTCATTATTTTAAATCCCTTTTTTACTTACTTAAGCACATCTGAGTTATATCCTCTGCCCTGGAAATCCCACAGCTGCAGGATCTGTGAGCCACGCTCTGCTGCCTGTGTGCTTCCAGCTCGCCATGTGCCTTGAGTCCTGGTGTGCTTTGTGAGTTTCCGCGATGGGTCCACATGTGTGCGGCAATGCCTTGAGGTGTGGGTTGACCTGGTTTCTCCCACAGAGAACTTGTGTTTGCTGCAATCCTGACCAGTCTCAAACCAACTCACATTAAATCCTGGGCTTTGGACCCCCAGGTTGTGTGACTTTTGGGGGCTGACCTCATGAGTGCCAGCTTGTGGTCACAAATCTTTAGGGAGAGGGTTTCTCCTCCACTCCGTGCCCAAATCAGGGATAGTGCCCAGGGGTGGGGGCCAGAGAATGCTGTTCTAGCCCAGCCTCTTGTGGTTCTTTATGTGGACAGGGTCTCCCTCCAGACTGCCCTTCTTCAGTCCGCCCTGAGCTGTGCCGTCTTCCACCCGGGCCTCCAGGCCAAGCTCAAGTTCACGTTTGTAATCCAATAAATGCCCTCGCAGGCCCAGCCAGCCCAGAGCTCCCCTCAGCCCTCCAGGTTCCTGCCCACGCGCCAGCTACAGCTTCTGAGTTCATTTCTCACCTGCCAGCTCACTCGTGTGTCTGAGAAAACACTGTGTGTGTTTTGTGTTTCACTCAGCACTTTCTGCTTCCAGTGGGAGTGATGGGAAGGGAACCAAGTTCCCTGATCTGCCATAAATAGAAGTCCTCTGTGTGTGTGTAAGACCCCTGGTGCTGGGAGGGCTCCCCACTGGGACCTGGGGTGTGGTAGGTGGAGGCAGGAAAAGGCCTCTGCCCCCTTACACATGGCCTTCTGCCCCCTTACATGGGGTGCGGGGGCTCTGGTGAAATCAACGATGCCCCATCCCGAGGCCCCGGGAGAAACGCTCTGCACGATGGCTACATGACATAAACGAAAAAGCGTCTTGTCACGGGGTGGGTGCACAGTGTGAGGCCGGCTTTTCTTTATAAATGTACGAACTACAATTGTCTCTTAGTGAGTGCTGTGCTGGCCCTTCTATCATTGTCCCCACCTCACAGCGTTTGGGTGGCCTGGCCCCAGGGCTCTGACAGGCTCCACCGGTCGCTGCAAGGATCCCACTGGACAGGACGGACACTCGCCTGGCCTTGGCCTCTCTGTTCCCGCGGCAACCCAGTGCTGAGGAATGATGACCTTGTGTCATCGGCCAAGACAACTAGATCAAAGGGCAGGCCACGTGCACCCTGCTGGGGCCATGGTTCTCTGAGCGGGGACTGGAGTGAGCAGGGGTCTCTTGCACACCTGTCCTGCTCATGGGTTAGTGATCCTGGTAGGGCCACCCTACCTGAGAGATCGGAAAAGCACAGTCTCAACGTGCAGTCAGATGATCAGCACAGCAGGACACGCGATGATAAAAATAAAATTATTTCTGCACACTCAGCGCTTACTGTTTATGGAGAGCTTTTGCCACATTAGCATCCTTATTCGGCGTCGTACTGTTCTGTGGAGAGGATTCTCGTCCTGCTCACTTTACAGGCTCCCTGCCAGCCTCACTTGTGGTCCCACCAGCCCCAGGGCCGTGGCCCCTCCGCCAGGCGATCCCAGTGGAGAGAGGGCCTCTGGCCTCTTATTTACCCTGAAGTCCCAGGGAGGAGAATCAGACCCAAGAGGGCAGCATGTCCGGGCTGTCCTGGGCCTAGCTGGCCACGTGTCCGTCCAGCCCACGTTCTCAGTGCCCTGTGTGTCCGAGATCACTGGACCTCAGCTGGTGCAGGGAGTTGGCTGTGGCTTTGTGTTTTTCGGCCACCTTCCTGCTACTCCCAGGGGAGTATGGCCAGGATCACGGGGGACTGGGAGATTCCTGGACTGGCTGGACAGTCTGGGGAGGGGCTGTGAGGCACAGGGACACGGGTTCCCGCTGGCACTGGCCTCCCGATGTTCCCTCGGCCTGGCCCTCTTCCCCCGTTGCTGATAGAGCCATCCCTGGCCCTGGCCCTTGCCCTGCATTGAGTATCTTATACACACCTGAATCTCTTTGCACGATTATCCAATTAGTTCCTTGGGGTAAATCATCACAGTGAAATTGCTGAGATGCAGAAACGCATGTTTCTGATGACCTCAGTTCATATTGCCCAAAAGACTTCCCGAAGGGTCGTGGGAGGGTCAGGCGCGGACATCCTGTGCTGCTGGCCTCGCCACGCCTGGCTTTCTTACCACGCCACTGAAGGTCGTCAGTCTGGAGGGTGAAATACGATCTCCCCTTAGAATTTGTCTCTCTTAGATTCCTAAACATTTTTCATGTCGTTGTTGGCTATTCGTGTTTCTCTTTTTGTGGACGTTTTGCCCATCTTGGTTTGGTTTCTTCAGAACTAGATCTCAAGTCCAGGATTTGAGTGTAAGTCATCTATCTGGGAGGTGGTCCCAGGACCCGCCGGAAAGAGAAGGCAGGCAGTGGCTGGGGTCTCACTGGGCATAGACCATGTGCCTTCTGGTCACTGCTCCCCAGTGACCGCCCACAGCTCAGGTCAGGCTCTGTGGAGGCTGCGGGAGGGGTGGGGGTGGGGACATAATTCTGCATGAATCGCATGGACTTCCGGCCAGGACTTGCATGAAGTGGGCTTGGCAGTGTGCAGCGTCCCTGGGCTTGTCCTGGCTGCTAAGGAGCAGCAGTGATCAGATGGCCCCCATGACAACTGACCCTGAGTGTGCACAGGCGGGAGCAGACACCTCCACTGGGGAGCAGGGCACAGGCCTGTTCCTAGTGTTCAGGTCGCACCCATGGGTCTGCAGAGACAGTGGCTGTGGCACAGGTACAGGTCGAACTGATTGACCTCAGTTTTCCCAGTGTGGGGAACCCGTGTTGCCAGGCAGGTGGCTGCCCTGCTCACTTTTGGGGGAAAACAGTTCTACTTTCCTGTCTTCCAGCCCAAGAGTGGGCCACGTGGCTCCCTTTGTCCCGATGGGACCACACACTCTCACTCACACAGGTCACCGCTGAGTCCTTGTGGAGCTCGTGAGGGCGGAGGGCCAGGCCCCGTGGGTTCTCTGCGTTTCTCCAGAGTCCAGGTCCCGTAACTGTGGTTTGTGTCATGCGACTGTGGCAGCAGAGGCAGCGGCATTCTGTGTGTGGATGGGAGAACTTAAACATGCTTCCATAGACAGGGGTGCCAGGCCCTTCTCGGAGCGCCATGCAGACACCTCTGGAGAGGGTGCTACCATGCGGTCTCCCAGGTGAGGAAACTGAGTCTGGACTCCGACCTCCAGTGTGGCTGGAAATAGCGCCCGCCAGGTTAGATCTCACATGGTGAGTCCTGACACCGGGGTGTGTGCCCAGGGGATGCGTAGTGCTGGTCTTGGCTGGGCCGTGGCTGTCAATGGGAGGGTCATCAGGTCTTTAACCAGAGAAACCCTTGGCCCAACACTCTAATCGTAAAGTCGGGGTGGGTCCCTTGGCCTGTCCGCCCCCTGCAGCCGGCACATGACAGCTGACACAGGCCACGGACCACCGCCACCACCTCAGGACCCTGCAGCCAGCAGTGACGTGGCAGGAACAGTGGCATCTTTCCCAGATCCACCTGCCCAGGCACCGGCGCCCCTCCGAGCCGCTCCCTCCAGGGCCCCCCAGGTCGGCGGGTGCGGCCCACGCTCAGGCCCCAGGCCTCAGGCGCAGTGTGGGAACCGAGCCCCGGGGTGCGCTGCCTACAATAATAGAGCGTGACGAATGGCATCGCCCGCGCCCAGCGGGACAGGGCCCGGCTGTGGGAGCCGGCGCCCGGCCTCTTCCCAGCGCCGCCGCCAGAACGCCCGGAGCCTTGGGCCCAAAGAATGTCTGGGAACGCGCGACAGCGGCCGGGGGCGGCGGGCGCGGGGCAGCCGCGCAGACAACCAGCGGGCGGGGGTCCTGCCCGGGCCTGGGACAGACGCGCCCCAGGGTCGCCTGCAGGGAGCGCGTGCCGCGACCTCCAGGACCCCGCGCGGGAGGACCCGGCCCCTCCCCGCCCCTCCGGGCCCCCGCCCCGCCCCCTCCCTTCACGGTCCGGGCTCGCTCGCCCACGGGTGGGGGTGGGGCGGGGAAGAGTCCAAGGGCGGGGCCGGGGCCGGGGCCGGGGCCCTGCGGGTGGGGCTGGTCCGGCTTGGCTTTTCCTTTCGTTGTTGTTATTTTTACCAAAGCAACATTTGCACCCAGCGTGGGCATCACAGAGCACCAAGGCCAACCCAGGGCTTCCCGCGCAGGCCCGGACGGGCCCTCCCCCCACCCCGCCCCCACCCGCTCCCTGTCCCAGGGCCCCGCCCCGCCTCCGTCCTTCACAGCGGCGCTGCGTGCGGCGACATCGCGGGTTCTCCGGGTCTGCGCGTGGACCGTGGGTCTCTGCCCCCGTGGGCGCCGCCTCTCAAGGGCGCGCTCGGGCTCAGGTGCGGCCGCCACGCGAAGCCCCTCGCAGCGGGCTCGGCGGCCCGGCCGGTCTTACTTCCCAGCCATCCCCCCAGTAGGAAGAAGCGCGTGTCTTCGTTTCCCGCTGCCGCTCCTGCTCCAGGACACCCACCCCCGCCGCGACCGCCTCTGGCCCCGGCCCCCTGGCCTCGCCCGGCCTCGCCCTCGGGGGGCTTCCTTCGCGGCGCCCTGGGGCCCCCGTGCCGTCGTCCGGGCGCTTCCCGGGGCTGCTGGGGGTCCTGCCGGGTCCCGCCTGGACCAAGTGCACGAACGGCTGAGGGCGGGGGTGGCCTCTTCGCTGTTCCTCCCAATGAAGGCCCCACGCGAGACCCAGGCCCGTGGCCTTCGTGGCCCGACGCTTACCCCTGGCAGCTGCGTCCCAATTCCCTTCCTTCAAAGGCTGCATCGGTCCTGCTGTCGTGGGGCCCACATCGTGTTCACCCATCCACCCTCCCTGGAGGCGCCGCTGCTCCGGCGTTTAGCCAACGTGAACAACGCGGCTGTGAACATGGGCTACAAAGGTCTTTTCCAGACCCGCAATTCTTCTGGGTATAGACCCACAAGGGGGTTGCTGGCTCCTATGGTAATTCTATTTTTAATTTTCTGAGGAACCGCCATACTGGTTTCCATAGCGGCTGCACCATCTTACACTCCGCCAGCAGAGCGCAAGGGTTTCAGTCTCTCCACATCCTCACACTTGTCATTTTCTGTTTTGTTTTTTTTTTTAATAGTAGCCATCCTAATGGGTGTAACTTTTCCCTGCACTCCCCTGGTGATTACAGGTGCTGAGCATCTTTACATGTGCCAACTGGCCATCTCCACGTCTCCCCTGGAGAGCTGCCCACTCAAGTCCTGTCCACTCAGGTCCTGTCCACTCAGGTCCTGTCCACTCAAGTCCTATCCACTCAAGTCTCTTACAGCCCTGATACTTTCCAGCTTGGCTCTCCCCCATGGTGGGCCAGAGGTCCCCTCGGGGGCCAGCAAGCTCCAGTAACAGAGGGTGTCTCCTTCCCTGCATTTCGGCAGAAGCCCTGGGAGGGCTCTGATGGGTTTGGCTCAGGCCACGCAACCATCCCCAACCCCATTTCTGTGACTAGGAGGGTGAGAGGCTCTGACTAGCCCAGCCTGACTCACCCACACCTGGAGCTGGGAGTGGGACCAGCCCCAACCAAGCCAAGAGTTGGGGGAGGGTCCCCAAATAGACATTAGGCAGATGAACGACATAAGGTCACCACAGTATTCATTGCTGTGTTATTCACAATAGTGAGAATCTGGAAATAACCAAATGTCTACAAAGCGGGCTGGGCTTTGTAGTGTGTGCACGCAGGGAACGTGGAGCATCCGGTCACAAGGATGGTGCACAGTGATGGACACCAACAGTGGGGCCCCATGTCCAGATGAAATGTCACGCAGTGGAATAAACACCAACAGTCATTGTATCTGAGTGGCTGGAATACGATCGATTTGCATTGTCCTCATTTTGCCAATCTGTATTTTCTCAAGTTCCCAAAAGGAAACACATTCCCTTTATAATAAAAAGGAAGTGACACTGTGGATAAACACATCGGAGGCATCCTCGTCAGCAGCCCCCACTGGCTGCGGTGGACGGTCTGGCACTGCTCCAGGCCTAACTGGACATCCTCCCAGCAGGGGACGAGGGCCAGGACCAGCAGACCACCCCTGGGTCATCCTGTCTCTGCTGTTGTCCAGCCCAGGGCCTCACACCTGGGCATGATTCCCCCAGATGTGGACCCTCCCTGGCTGAGGACTTCCATGGCTGGCCTCGGCTCCCTGACTCCCCGACTCCCCGACAGGGCCCATCTGTTCCTTCTGAGCCTGAGGAAGCTTCCCTGTTACTGCCCTGACGTCTCAACAGGGCCTGGTGTGTGCGATGGTGACAGCTCCCACAGTGAGAAGCATGCTTGTCCGTCACCAGAAGACACCCAGCCGCACAACTCAAGGGGTGCAGTCACCCCAAAACCTAGCTGGTGCAGATGCCTGCTCAACGCCCCCTCCAAGGTATTGGAGCTCCTGGCTGCTCCTGCCTGCTGGCGTTTAGCGATCCCTTCAGAAAAGCAGAGCTCAGAAGCCAAGTATTGATCTCATGGGATGCTTTGTTTCCTAATGAGCCATTCACTTTAAAGCAGGCTCACTGCTTACATTTAAATTTTGGATTCCTCTGGTCAAACATCCATCAAGTAAATGGATAGAATGTTTAATTTGATGGAGGCTGTGCTGGCATGAGCAGCCGGGCTGCCTCCGCCTTTCTCCTGGACCAAGGGGACGCTTGGGGGCAGAGGCTTTTCCACCAGGAGCCACCAAGGCCGGAGCTGGGTTGGGCTGGCTCTCAGAGGGGTGCAGCCACGTCTGCTGGGCAATTCCCCGAACATCTGGCCCCTTGGCATCATGGAGGGAAACGGATGGCTATTTGCTGACTTCTAGAAAACAGCTGAGTTTATGCAGACTACCAACAAAAAGGCAAAGAAAAAAATGTGTTTTGCCTTACAGCTTTCAAACAAATGAGTTACCCATTGTGCTGTGGGACACAGCCCCCTAAAAGTTGCACACCCCCTCATAGGGATGCTGTGTTCTGCTTCCAGCAGCTTCTACAAGGTGAGGTTCCCAGCCCAGTTTCACAAAGCGTAAGTGGACCCCCAGCAAGTGTTCACGAACCAAACACACACTTTAAAGCGGCAGATCCAGAAACAGGTCCACACCACCCTGGCCACGTGGCTGTGGCTCTAACCTCTGTCTCCACGGGTGTCTCTGCCTGTTTTGAGTCCCATATAGACGGTCACACTATGTGTGTGCTGCTTCATAAGAAACTTCTAGGCAATCACCACCGTGAGGGCCGCCTCACCCTGGCCTCACGGCTGCATTCACGCTGGACTGAATTCAGAATCCTTCCCCAGTGTCTAAATCGAGTTCAGAGTTACTTAGCAAGGGCAGGCTGGGCCGTGGCCCCACAAACAGGACTCTGAGTCTGGAGGCCCCGTCAGGGGTCCTCAGGGCTCATTCAGTGAGTGTGAGGGGCTCCTCAAGCCTTGGAGATCTGCAGAGGTGGGGGCTGTGGGGGTGACAAGGTGTGGATTCTGCTCCTGATGCCCCCCGAGCACCTCCACGGCCCCCTTTCCCCTGCCCTGCCCCTCCCCTCCCCTGCTTTTCCTTTCCTCCTGTCTTGTGGCCCCATCCCGGTTCTACAACCTTCCTGCTACCTTCAGGATGCTCCAGGTGCAACGAACAGGAGCCTCTTCTCACACTGCCCACCCCTCAAAACCTTCACTGGCTCCCAGAACCTTCACTGCTCCCAGAGCTGGGCAGCTCAGGGCAGCAGGGGCTTCAGGCATGGCTGATCCAGGGCTGTGGGATGGTTGAGATGGGGGGCCATTTCCACCCTCTGCCCACGCTGCCCCTCCCATCTTGGGGTGGCTGTGACCGCAACAGGGCTTTGTGCTGATTGGACCACCGTGAGCCAATCCCCAAAGCCAGGGGTTCTCCCACTGTGACCAGCTTAGACCAACCACTCACATTTGTGAGGGGTGTCGGAAGAATTGACAAAGATTGAGATGAGCAAAGATCCTGGGGCTCTCCATTCAGCACAGGAGGGGCTTCCAGAGCCCCATGGTGGCTGCCAGTGGGGAGTCCCAGCCTGGCGCAGCTGCCTGTGCGTCTGGCCTCAGCCTTTTCCGTACATTGAAATAAGAATAGTTAATAAATGCAAAGTCCTTATAATGCTAGCTGGCGCACGGCACTATGGGAGCCTCGCTGTCACACTAGGTCCTGTCTGCCTCCGTGCTGGAAACTTCCTGGGCCTCTTGTTGCACTCAGAGTTCAACCCTAACCCCTCTCAAGGCCCAGGGGCCTGGCACACTGTTTCCTGCCTCCCTGCCCCTCGCCGCACCTCTCTCGGCTCCCCTGGCCCGGGCTGAACCTGCCAGCTTCGCACCTGCTGCCCCTTCTGTCTCCGCCCAGGGCCCCGAGTGGCTCCTCCCCCAACCAGGCCCTGCTCGGCGGGGGCGGCCCCTCTTGTCTCTCTCCCCTCTGCCACTTGGTTTCTCTCTGCCCACAGTGTGTGTGTGTATTGGCTTCCTGCTGTCTTCCCCCTGGGAACAGGAGTTCAGATCCCCTGAGACAGGAATCATACAGGGTGGTTGCAAGAGGATAGAAAATTCCAGGCAGCAGTTTTCCAGGACCAGCCAAAGGGAACTGTTGAAATAGATTTCAGGCTGTAAGACCCTGAAAACCAGAGTGCGGGCCCAGCTGGCTAAGACCAACTGGACCCACCCCGGTGCTGGATTTGACCCGGGTTTCACCTAGGACCTCATGATACGCTCATTAACATCCTAAATCCCAGGCCAGGTGTGGTGGCTCACGCCTGTAATCCCAGCACTTTGGGAGGCCGAGGCAGGCAGATCACCTGACGTCACGAGTTCAAGACCAGCCTGGCCAACGTGGTGAAACGCTGTCTCTACAAAAATACAAAAATTAGCTGGGTGTGGTGGCATATGCCTGTAATCCCAGCTACTCGGGAGGCTGAGGCAGGAGAATTGCTTGAACCCGTGAGACAGAGGTTGCTGTGAGCTGAGATCGCACCACTGCATTCCAGCCTGGGTAACAGAGTGAGACTCTGTCTCAAAAAAAAAAAAAAAAAAATCCTAAATCCCACACCCATGGGTGCCAGGACAGTTCTGGGAACACCCATGTTTGGAGTAAAAACTGGTGGGACCACAGTTCTGAGAAATCTCCACCTTTTTCCAGGAATCTTCTTGGACTCTGCCCCTTGGTTTAAAAAAAAACCCATAAAGGCAGCAGCCCCAAACCTCACTGCGCGACTGTCTTGTGAGTCCACGCGAACTCCCCTCTTGAGTGTAGACTTTTCACTTTGCAATAAATCTCTGTACTTTGACTATTTTCGGACTTGTCCTTGAATTCCTTCTCGCGGTGGTGTCAAGAGCCCTGACACTGGCTGGGATCGAGGTCCCATCAGCGTCTGGGGACCTTGCACAGCCCATCAGTATCACCCTCAGATGAGCCGAGGGCGTGCAGGTCCCAGGTCCGCTTGGTGCCGGTGGCATGAGTGGTCGGTCTGTGAAAGCCAGGGGACCCACAGCAGTGCCAGCCCCCAAGGTAGGGCCTGCTTGCCCACAGCTCCCCCAGGTGTGAGCCCGCCCTGTAGCAGCAGGCTGCCCCTGGTGGTACTGCAGAGCCCAGGGTGAGTTCAGCTCTGTCCCCAGAGGGCCGGTGGGCCTTCTGCTGGCTGTTTGCACAGCTCGCTGGGTGCGGGGCAGCCTTGGCCTTTAGCCGGGGCCTCCCTCTCCCTGCAGGGGGAGTCCCCAGAGTCACCAGCCTGGCTGCTGTTTCTGCAACGCCCCCACCACGCCCCACCACCATCAAGGCCCCTCTGCCCCTGCCTTCACCTCCCCAGGACTGGGGCCTCCATCTGCTTTCACCTCCCTGGGCTCCCAGGTTCAGCCCTCCAAGAGTTGCTGCAGCTTTACTCTTTCTCTTCCTTTCACTACAGATGCGTTCCCCCCTCAGTTCCAGGTGTGCGTTGGGGACAGAGACAAGGGCATTGCCCAGGCTGCCATCCTTAAGAAGTCTACGTGGGAAATGGGTAACCCACAGGAACAGACTTGGGTCAGTGGCAGGCATGTCCCATCCAGACACCTCTTCCCCAGCTGCTCCCTTCGGGCTCAGGTGCCGCCTCCTCTCTGCAGCCTCCTGCCAGGACCTGTCTGCCGGAGCTTCCTTCGCTCAGCCCTGAACCCCGCCCACCACTCCCTGCAGGCACAAATCCCTGATTTCTGTCCATCTGTTCCTTGCCTCTGAAATGTCACCATTGGGTGTTAAAGGGTCTGGAGGTGACCTGAGGCAGGTGAGATAGGGGGACCATGAGGGGGCCACTCCTCAGCCCTGTGCTCTCTATTCTGCCCCTAAGAGGAGCTAAGGAACAGTTCTTTGGTCTGATTGTGACACTGCATCCTGTGCTTTCACTGTGTGGTGGGCTGAGTGATGGCCCTGGAATGTCCGGGCCCCAATCCCTGGAAAGTGACCTCACCTGGCAGGAATGTTTGCAGGGGGGACTCAGTGAGAGGCCCTGAGACGGGGGATTATCTCGGATCATCCGGGTGGGACTGAGGCGCCTCTGGTGTTCTTAGCAGGGGAGGTCTGCCCCACCAGACCACGTGTCACCAGCGCTGTGCTGCTCTGCTGGCCACGAGAGGGAGGCCAAGGGGGCAGCGCGGGGGCTGAGGCGGCAGGAGCCTCGAGGAGTCCTGCAGACACCTTACACCTTTATTGTGCCCAGTGAAACCACTTTGGACCTGGAGCTGTGAGAACGTCCATTTCTGATGTTGCAGCTGCCTGCTCTGTGGCGATTTGTTGCAGCTGAAGCTCGTGCAGCTCGGCAGTGGCGTGGTCTGTGTTTCTCGGGTTGTGTGGCCCCCATTCCTGCTGGAACCGGGGCAGTGAGCCGAGGTGCTGGAGGCCCTGGGCGGGGCGGTGTGTGGTCCCCTCAAGGCTGCCCGGCTGTGAGGACCAATGTCTGCACCACCTCTATCAGCCGGCCCTCCTGCGGCAGCTGGGGTCGGGCGGGGTGTGGGGGGCGTGAACACAATGGGCCAGAACCCAGGTGTGGGCTCGAAGCTTCTGTGGGGCTGCTCCATGCGGGTGCTGTTCCCAAATAATTATCTGGTCAAATGTGACGCGGTCCTGCAGACTTGGCATACTGGGCAGAGCCTGACAGGCTCACACACTTTGAGCAGAAATCCCTTTTTCAGAAATTGCCTCTAAGGAAACGCCACGCGTGGGGATTCAGACGTGCAATGAAAGGGGCTTGATGCGGCTGCTCCTCAAATTTTGGTGGATTTGGTGGGAGGCACCACCCCACCACACCTTCTGGTGCGTTCCCTGTAGGCCGCTGTCCAGACAGACGACCTGGCCCCAGGGTTCCAGGCAGGGTCGGGGCTCACCGATTGTTGCTGGAGAGGTTGGAAGGAGGGGTGAGTGGGGCTGCCCCTCAGTGCCTTGGCCCTGCAGCTAGAGGTCACACCCTGGCTTCGGCGTTGGCAGTGGGTCCCACGCGGGCCTGTGCCGGCCTCGCCGTGCGGGCACCCCTCTGCTGGGATGGGTCTCAGCAGAGATGGAGAATATTGTGCTGTTGAGAACACTAAACGTGTTAGCTGTCGGTGAGACTATAAGTGATTCCTACCATTTTCTTCATGTATCTTTGTATTTCTAGATTTCCTACAATAAACATGTATTAAATTACTATTCTAGTGAAAGAAATAAAAGACAGTAGACTTCCACTTCTAGACAAGATGGAGTGACAGGGGCTGAATGTACTTATCTGCCCAAAACAACTAAATAAGAGACAAGACTATTGAAACCAGGGTCCTCAAGGCAATGGGCATCAGACAAAAAGGAGCCGTGACCCGAGAAATGGGACACGGACGCGATGAGCCCTCTGAGGGCCCGGCCGACCTCCCGGAGAGAGTTTCCAGGTCACAGTGCTGGGAGGTGACGCAGGTGGAGCCAGGGATCTCCTGAGTTGAGGACGCTGAGAGTCGGGGAGACCAAGGCAGCCACAGCTTGCAGGGCAGAGGGTGAGAGAGGGGAGCTGCACCTAGCGAGAACCCTGGAAAGGCACAGAGGGCCCCTGAGAGGCAGCAGAAGGCTGATGAGCAAATTGAATCTGTAGTTAAAAATCTTCCCCTCTCACATACAAAATAACCCCGGGCTTAGACGGCTTCACAGGGGAGCTCCAGCCAACATTTAAGAAAGAGCTAATAGCAATTCTACATAAGCTCTTCCAGAAAGTTGAAAAGCAGGGATTTTTCTCAAGTCCTTCCAGGAGGCCAGCATGATCTTGATATGAAAACCAAAGACATTACAGGAGAAGAATATAGGAACAAGCATCCCCCTTTAGAAGTCCTAAACAAAAGCTTACTAAATTGAACCCAACAACATATTAAAAAGATGATACATCATAACCAAGGAGAATTTTCCCCAATATATCAGGATTGTCTTAAGGATTGAACACGTAAAAATCAATTTAAGTCACCATATTAACAAACTGAAAGAAGAACAATGTGATTGTCTCAATAGACACAGAAAAAGCATTTGACAAATTCCAACATGCATTCTCAAAACACTCTTGGCAAACAGGAGTAGAAGCAACTTCTTCAACCTGATAAAAGGCATCTCTGAACACCCGACAGCTGACATCACACCTACTTGTGAAAGACTGAGTGCTTCCCCTGAGGCCAGGAACAAGTCAGGGACAGCACTCTCAATGGTCCCATTCAGCATTGCACAGGAGGTTCTAGTCAGGGCAATTAGGAAGGAAAAAAGAAAATGAAAGGCATCGTTATTGGGAAGAAAAGAATAATACTGTCTTTATTTGCAGAAGACAAGTTCATCTATGCAAAAAAATCTAATGGAATTCACGAAACAAAAAGCTGCTGGAGCTGAAGAGTGAGCATCACAAGGTTGCAAGGTCAAGATCAATGCCAAGAGTCACTGCATTTCCATACCCCAGCAACGGACAGCCAGAAATTAAAATGGAAAGAACAACACACTTGTCGTAACATCAAAATTATGAACTAGGGATAAATCTGATAGAAGGTGTGAAAGTCTTGTACACATAAAATGAGAAAACATTGCTGAGTAAACGAAAGAGGACATAAGAAATGAAAACTTACACCATCTTCATGGGCTGAGACTCCATGTGCGTAAGACAGAAGTTATCCCCAAATTGATCTGCACATTCAGCAAAATCCCAACTGAAGTCTCAAAAGGCTTTTTTTTCGAAGAGGATTTGACAAACTCATTCTAAAATTCACATAGAAAGGCAAAGGCCCTATAACAACCAGAACATCGTTGGAAGATAAGAGCAAAGTTGGAGGATTTACACTAGCTGATTTTTAGACTTTATAAAGCTGTAGTAACCAAGACAGTGTGTTTATAAAATGCTCAGAAATAGAGCCATACACACATGGACAATTGGTTTTTGACAAAAGACTCTCAGTGAAGAAAAGAGGGTCTTTTCAACAAGCAGTGCTAAAACAACGGAATAGCCACATGGAAGAGGGAACATTGATCTATACCCCAGGGCCATATAAAAAATGAACTCAAAATGGATTATAGATCTAAATGTAAAACCTAAAACTATAAAACTTCCAGAAGAAAACATATGAGAAAATCTTTGTAGGTTAGGCAGAAATTTCTTAAATTCAACGCCAAAATAAATGAATAAACTAGAATTCATCAAAATGTAAAACTTCTGCTCTGCAAAAGACATGTTTAAGAGAATGAAGAGATTGGCAACAAAGCAGGAGAAAATATTTGCAAATGATGAATCTGATAAG
The DNA here is from genome assembly GCF_000001405.40 of Homo sapiens. Taxonomy (NCBI): domain Eukaryota; kingdom Metazoa; phylum Chordata; class Mammalia; order Primates; family Hominidae; genus Homo; species Homo sapiens. Next base: position 45,009,215 of record NC_000021.9, on the reverse strand, counting down.
ACTCCAGCATGCCTTAAAGAACTCCCAAAATTCAATAATAAGAAAACTAATAACACCATTAAAAAATGGGCAAAAGTTTTGAATAGAAAATCCCTCAAAGAAGACATAGAAATTCAGATCAAAACACAAAAAAAAGATGATCGACATCATTAGTTACCACGGAAATTAAAACCACCATAAAATGCCACTGTCCACACATTAAAATGGCTAAAATGAAAAAGACTGACAGTATCAAGTGTTGATGAGGATGTGGAGTGTCATGGTTGAATGTCTGTGTCCCTCCAAAATTCGTATACTGAAGCCTTAGCCCCCAGTGGGGCTGTATTGGAGATGGGCCTCTAAGGAAGCAATTAAGGTAAAATGAGGTCCTAGAGGTGGGGCCCTGATCCAATAGGATTAGTGTCCTTATGAGAAGAGACACCAGAGAGTTTGCTCTTTTTTCTCTGCATGTGTGCACTTGTGAAGGCCCTGTGAGGATACAGCAAGGAGGTGGCTGTCAACAAGCCAGGAGAGAGCCCTCACGGGGAATCAAATCTAGCAGCACTTTGGTCAGGGACTTCCAGCCTCTAGAACGGTGGGAAAATTAACTTTTGTGGTTTAACCCCCACCGCCTTTCTGTGGTATTTTGCTAGAGCAGCATGAGCAGACCAAGATATCAAATAACTGAGGATGTGGAGAAACTGACACTGCTGGTGGGGGCAGAAAATGGAACAGCCACTTTTAATAGCAGTTTGACAGTTTATTAAAAAGTTAATGATATGTGGCCAGGTGCGGTGGCTCACGCCTGTAATCCCAGCACTTTGGGAGGCCGAGGCGGGCGGATCACAAGGTCAGGAGATCAAGACCATCCTGGCTAACATGGTGAAACCCCATCTCTACCAAAAATACAAAAAAATTAGCCGGGCATGGTAGCGGGTGCCTGTAGTCCCAGCTACTCGGGAGGCTGAGGCAGGAGAATGGCATGAACCTGGGAGGCAGAGCTTGCAGTGAGCCGAGATCGCGCCACTGCACTCCAGCCTGGGGGAGAGCGAGACTCCGTCTCAAAAAAAAAAAAAAAAAAAAAGTTAATGATATGCCTCCCACAGGATCCAGACCTTTGACCCTAAGTTTTTTGTCAAGGGAAATGAAAGCATATACGTCCATACAAAGACTTGTCTACAAATATTCACGAATGTTCACAGCAGCTTTGTTTGCAGTGGCCACGGACTAGAAACAGCCCAAATATCCAGCAACAGGGGAACCGGTAAACAAACTGCAGTCTCTCCTTACAATGGAATCCTAATAGGAATATGCCACATTGATCCACACAGCAGCACAGATTGATCTCAGAATAATCATTGCAGTCTCTCCATACCATGGAATCCTAATAGGAATATGCCACATTGATCCACACAGCAGCACAGACGGATCTCAGAATAATCATGCTGAGTGACAAGAGCCAGACCAAAAGAAACAAACCAAAACAACAACAACAGCAACAACAACAAAAAACCATACTGGATGATTCCACTGATACAAGTTTCTAGAAAATGCAAACTAATCTATAGTGACAGAAACAGATCAGTGGTTGCCTGGGGATGGGGTTACTCGGAGAGCAGAAGGGGGATGGGGTTGCACAGAGGGACAAGAGGGAATGTTGGGGGTGCTGCATAGGTTCGTTATCTTGATTGTGATGATGTTTTCATAAGTGTACACATGTCAAAACTTGCCAAATTGCATGCTTTAGAAGTGTGTTTATTTCACGTCAGTATTACCTCTGTTTTTAAAATTCTAGATAATGACGACTGCAAAATGGCAGGATAAGGACGTCCAAAAAGCCTCATTGATGAAAGCAATGAGAACGCTGGCAAAAATGATCAGAATCGGCTTTTTCAGACCTCTGGAAATTAACCAAAGATTTGCAGTGAGGAATGAAATTTCAGTGAAAAGCAATATCCTAGCAGCCACTGGGGTGGAGAACTGAAGCCGAGCTCCCCCAAAGCCTCTTCCCGGAGAACTGTCATTATCTGAGCTGCCTCTCTGTTCCGTGGAAGACTCTACTTGCAAGACTATCTTTGCCTGATTGACTCGGAGCTTAACCCGTAGGA